>NC_000002.12:22206725-22358240 GCF_000001405.40 Homo sapiens
TCAAAGTAAGAGACAAATTGCTGCATCTTGCATCTTCCACCAAAAACAAGGAAACAAAGTATCTGGTAGACCACTTTGGGTCCACAGGTAGTATACCCACATGTAAGAATAATTACTAGAGAAGATGAAAACCTCTCAGATTTCCTGGAGTAGAGAAGAACACTGCAGTAAACCCAGGTTGCAGTGACATCAGTGCTGCCTCTTGGGCCATGTGATTCCACTGACATTATGGTGTTCAGAAGTAATGTGATATGGAGCTCATAGCAAGCCCAAGTGGGAGAATCACAATGCCATCTCCTGGGATACAGGGCTGTGGTATCCACCAGAGAGAATTAAAGCACTTTAAGAAATAAATGTAGTTTGACATGTCCCTGGGCCCTATTCGAGATCGAACACTTGAACATGGGACACAAAGTGGCAATGCCTTTGAAATTTCCCATTATGAGTTGGAGTCTATCAGATCCACCAAGTCATAAAGTCACATAGGCCTGGCAATAGCTTCCCATCATAAATGAAAATGGCACATCAAGGAATGAATCTGAGCAAGATCAAAGGGCCCAAGTTCTGCTCATGAGTACATACTTTCAGAGCCTATGTCATCTGCTGGAGTTGCACCAGTGTCTCTCCATCTTCTTGCACTTAAAGCCATATGGGGGTTTCTATGCATCCAGCTGTAGGAAGAGGAAGCAGCTGTACTTGGTTTATGGATAGTTCAGCTTTAGTGGGAGAGCACAAACTGAAAATGGTCAGTGACTATATATCCTCATTCAGTGGCGACCCTTAAAAATGGCCAAGAGTGATAATTTTCCAAATGGGCTGAGCTATGAACAGTTAACCCAGTCATCTATTTTTGTAGAATGAGCAATGGTGTCATGTCATGGTTATAGGAGGAAAAGAACTAGAAGTTTGGAGACATCTTCCAGACAGAAGCATGTGTATGGTCATATGGAGGTGGGAACAAAATGATATTTTCATTACACATTAACCCCATCATGAAAGTATAGATCATGGAAAAGACACTGAACCATTAAATAGACATTGTGACTTGGCCTTTGTCATCAGCCACCCCACAATAGGCATGATGAATACATGAATGGGGTGATCATGTTGACAAAGTCACAGGCTATAAATGGGCCCAAAAAGATGAACTCCCACTAACCAAGGCAGATCTACTGACACCTCTGAATTTCTCCTTTTTAGTAACAGAGACCAATGCTAACACCCATTATGGCACTATTCCTCAAGGAAATTGACTACTTGGTGAGAAATTACATTGGGTAGCTTCTACCCCAAAAACAGTGCTACTCATCCTCAAAGCTATGATAAATACTTGTTTTGGGTATGGGCTTACTTCTACCCACAAAGCCATAGCCAGCATCACTATCGGAAGGCTTAGAGAGTGCAGTGGATCAACACTCTGTAAGCCTCCTATACACATGTCAGCAGATCAGGGGACTGACATGAGATGAAGGTGGTGAAGGAAATGCTGGAGTGGTCCATGACTGGGTGCCACGCTTCAGAATACTGTGTACTTATTAAAACAAAGATCTCTCTATATGGTGCCCTGTCCCCTATAGGAAGGATACATGTGTTCAGAAACCAAAAGATGGAAGCATGCATAGCTCCACTTACCAAGACTCCTTACGATTCATGGGAGGAATTTATGATTTATGTCCCTATAACTCTAGGCTCTGCAGGGTTGAAGGTCGTGGTCTCCAAACAGGTACACTCTTGTTGTTGCGGCTCTGGGACTGACATTGTGGTGACAGCATCGTGCCCCTGGGATAACAGCTATCTAGTAGTATATTTCATTGGACCACATCCTGATTCCCCACTGAACTCATTGTGCCAGGGACAGCAGCTAAGTATCTTACCTAGGAGACACAGCTAAGTATCTTACTGAATTAAAAGTTACATTTGCTACCTGGGCACCTTGGACTTCTTCCACCCAGGGAACAGCAGGCAATAAAAGGTGTCACCAGATTGGCAGGGGTAATTAACCAGAAGCAGCAGGAGATAATGCTCCTTATACACAAGATGGGAGCAAGGAGAAATACCTGTGGAACCGAGGTGATACACTGGGCACCTTCCTGGCACTTCCTTGCTCCATTATAACTGTGCATGGATATGTCCAGCAATGTAGACCTGGAAGTAGAATGGCTATCAAAGCTTCAGAGCCCTCAGAGATAAAAGTGTGAGTTGCACCACCAGACGAGCCACCTAGACCTGCTGAAGTGATAGCTGAGGGTGAGGGAAATATAGAGTGGAGAAGGGAGGGAATGAGTGTCAGTGATGACCTGTGATCATCTGCAGCAATGAAGCCTCTAGTTAATCAGATTCACTTTGTTTTTCTGAGTTTTACTCAGATAAGAGGGCCACAAAAGACACATGGAGGAGCTCCTCCCTACACCCATGTAAAAATGTAGATCTGAACAGTGCAAGAGGAGGAGTGTGGCAGCCATAAGAATGTGCACTGTCCTCTGACCACAGAGACGAAAACTGACTCAGGACCTCTGCTGCTGAATGCTGAAATCCATTGCTAAGATGTACTGAGATCACACCTCTCTTGGGCTGATTCCAGCCAATGACAGACAGTGGTGCAAGAGTACTGATAACTTCTACATATCAATATTTTAAAAAATCAATAGAACAATAGATTAGGGAGATAATCAGGCACTTATAAAAAATGGAAAATAAATAACATGTAAAACTGCTCAATCATTAATAATCAGGTTCTCAAATAGATACAACACTGTGTCATTTAACAATAATTGAATTGACAGATAATAGTTATAATAACTATAATGAGGACGAAGAGGAGGAGAAGTAGTAGTAGTACTATCACAATTTCAAATGTTGGTTAGGATGTGAGGAAATATAAACTCATATACGTGGTGGTATAAGGTGGTCCAATTATTTGGAAGAGCAATATGACAAAACCTAGTGCAAAGGTATCTATTTCCTAAAACATAGTGCTTCAGCCATGGTTCATTTGAATACTGCGAAAACACATCTAGACATCTGAAAGCGAAAGCAATTCAAAACATGAATGTAGAGGCATATAACATTTTCAGAGAGTATGAAGGAAGAGACCCTAGGCAGGGCTTTTAAGAATCACTCCTAGGCAATGTCTGTTATCTGGCTTACCAGGGATGCTGCTGTCCCTGCCACAATGAGTTCAGTGGGGAATCAGGATGTGGTCCAATGAAATATACTACTAGATAGCTGTTATCCCAGGGGCACGATGCTGTCACCACAATGTCACCCCCAGGGCCGCAACACATCAGCTAGTTCATAGGCAAAATAATGTGCTCTGCACCCTGCCCTTGGGTGGGACAGTGGAAAGTCGGACATTGTCTGATGCTAGAATAAAACAAGGAAAACGTCTCTGTGCCTACTTGTTAGCAGAGCAGCCCAGCCTTCACCTCGTTTTTTTTCCTTTCAAATCTCCACGTGACCATCCAACTGGGAAATCTAAAACACATCTGCAACTACAGACAGAAGTGAGTATACAACTTCCCAGGTATTGTGAGATGGTCAAGTAAACAAGCGAAGTTTAAAATGGAAGGTAAGCACCAAACTAACTAAATCCACCTCATTCAACAATTTCACTTCTAGCACACAACCTAGAGAGCTGTTTATGCACAAGAAAAGTTGTGTTGTTTTGGATGGCTAATTCTTTCATGTTTTAGATATTTATTGCAGGATGTTAAGGATGCCTTGCCTCCTAGTAACAATTTCCAGCAGCATCCCTCAGCCATCATGATGAACAAACTGAACATATATATTTTCAAACGCCCCTGAGGAAGACAGTTGCATACTCCAGGTGTGAACTTTTTCTATTAAGGATTTCCATCATATTTACCCATGGAGATTCATAGCAGCATCGTCAATTACAGTGAAAAATTAGAGAGACTAATTGTCCATCAATAATGGAATAAAATAGATACATTCAGCTGTATAACTTTAAGCAATTAAAATGAATAAGCCATCAGTATGTATCCATAACAATAATCCTTGAACAGATAATATTTTGTGGGAAAAAAACAGGGTTGTAAAACAGTTCCTATTAGATTGGCACAAAAGCAATTGTGTTTTTTGCCATTAAAAGTAATGCTTGTTTTTGGGTATGGACTTACTTTTACTCACAAAGCCATAGCCAGCAACTCTATCTGGAGGCTGAGAGAGTGCTTGTGGATCAACACTGAAGTAAATACAGCTTCAAGATACTTTGACAAAATTAGCCTTTTAAGCCAGTATGGGTCCTGTCTGAAGAATAGAAAGGCCTGTCACTATATTTTTTTGTAACCGAAAAAATACGAACTGTTTATATTTTTTATACATAATGTTTTGGAATATTGTGGAATGGCTAAATTGAGCTAATTAATGTATGCATTACCTCACGTACTTATTTTTGGTAGTAAGAACATTTATAATCTTCTCTCAACAATTAAAAAAATAGTTTATTGTTATTAACCACAGTTATCATGTTGTACAATAAATCTTTTGAACTTATTCCTCCTATCTAACTGAAATTTTTTATCATTTGATCAACATTTCCTCAATGACCCACCACCACCCTGGGAAACCAATATTCTATTCTCTGCTTTTATGAGTTCACCTCTTCTAGATTCCACATATAAGTAGGATCATGTGGTATTAATCCTCGTGCATGGTTTATTTCATACAACATAACGCCCTCCAGGTTCATCCATGTTGATACAAATGACAATATTTTCTTCTTTTTAAAGGCTGAATAGTGTTCCACTGCATATATGTCATATTTTCTTTATCCATTCATTTGTTGTGGGACAGAGGTTGATTCTGTATCTCAGCTACGCATATCATGTGGCAACGACATGGAAATACAGCTATCTCTTCATGATACTTATTTCCTTTTGGACATATACCCAAAAGTGAGATACTGGACTATATGGTAGTTCTATGTTTAGTTTTCTGAGGAATCTCCATACTGTTTTCCATAATGGCTGTTTTCAATAACTTACATTCTCACCAACAGTGTACAAAGGTTTCGTTTTCTGCACATCATCCTCAACACTTTTCATCCTGTTTATATCAGCCATCCCAACAGGTGTGAGGTTAACATCTCATTATAATTTTAATTTGCATTTTCCTGATGATTAGTGGTGTTGACCATTTTAAAAAATATATCTGTTGGCTGCTTGTTGGTCTTCTTTTGAGAAATGTCTATTCAGGTCCTTTGCCTATTTTTAAAATCAGGTTATTTGTTTTTTTGGTAATGAGTGGTGTGAATTTCTTATATACTCTAGGTATTAACCCCTTATCAAGTGTGTGGTTTGGGCCAGGTGTGGTAGCTCATTCCTGTAATCCCAGCACTTTGGGAGGTCAAGATGGGAGCCTAAGAGTTCAAGGCTGCAGTGAGCCATGATTGTATCACTGTACTCTAGACTGGATGACAGAGCAGATCGTGTCTCAAATTTTTTTAAAAAGGAAGAAAAATGGTTTTCAAACATTTTCATCCATTCTATAGGTTGTTGCTTCATTCTATTGGTTGTGTAATTTACCATGAAGAAGCTTTTTAGTGTGATTCAATCCCATTTGTCAATTTTTGCTCTTGTTGCTTATGCTTTAGGGATATTAAAAGAAAATTATTGCCCAGACGAAAATCATGGAGCTTTCTCCCTACGTTTTCTTCTAATTGTTTTACAAAGTCAAGTCTTACATGTAAGTCTTCAATTCATTTTGAGTAGATTTTTGTATATGGTGTGGAATAAGTATTTCATATTCTTCTGCATGTGAATATCCATTTTCCCAACACAACTTATTGAAGAGATTGTCCTTTCCCATTGTGTATTCTTTGCATCTTTGTGAAAAATCTGTTGATAAATGCACAAACTTGTTTCTGTGCTATCAGTTATGTTGTTGGTGTATGTTTCTGTTTTTATGGCAGTGCCATGCTGTATTGATTGCTATAGATTTGTATGATATTTTGAAATCAGAGACTGCGATGCCTCCAACTTTGTTCTTTTCGCTCAAGATTGTTTTTGTTATTTGGGGTCATTTGTGGTTTGATATTAATTTTATGATTGCTTTTTCTATTTCTGATAAAATGATTTTGGAATTCTGATAGGTTTGCATTAAATTTGTAGATTACTTTGGTCAATTTAATAACGCTCAAATGGGCATTTTAATAATATTAACCCTTCCAATCCATGGACATAGGATACTTTTTTTTTCACTTATTTTCTGTGTTCTTTAATGTCTTTCATCAGTGTTTTATAGTTTTTTGTGTATAAGTCTTTTATTTCCTTGGGTAAATGTATTCCTAAGTATTTTATTTTATTTTATTTTGCAGCCACTGTAAATGGCATTGCTTTCTTGATTTTTTTCAGACAGTCATTGTTAGTGTATAGAAATGATCCTGACTTTTCTTTGTTGATTTTATTTTTTGTAACTTTACTCAGGACATTTCTTACTTGTAACAGGTTTGTTTTTTTTTTTTTCAGTAGTCTTTAAGGTTTTCAATATATAAGATCATGCTGTCTGCATCAGAACTCTTTTCTTCCCGATTTTGATGTCTTTATTTCTTCCTCTTGGCCAATTGCTCTAGCTAGGACTTTCAGTACTGTGTTGAATAGAAATGATGAGATTAAGTATCCTTATCTTCTCTTGCTCTTAGAGGGAAAGCTTTCAACTTTTCACCATTTAGTATAATGTTATCTGTGAGTATTATGTTAAGTGAAGTAAGTCAGGCACAGAAAGATAAATAGCATATGTTCTCACTCATATGTAGGAGCTAAAAAAAAAAAAAACTTGATCTCATATAGGTAATGAGAAGCATGGAGTAGAGATAAGAATGGTGGTCACCAGCAGCTGAGAAGTATAGGGGGCAGAGGGGACAAAGTTGGTTAACGAGTACAAAATACAGTTAAATTGAAGGAATAAGTTCTACCATTTGATAACACAGTAGGGTGACTATAGTTAACTAAATTTATGGTATAGTTCAAAATAGATAGAAAAGAAGATTTAGAATACTCCCATCACAAAAAAAAATAAATATTTGAGGTGATGGTACCCCAATTTCCCTATTACACATTGCATGTATCAAAAATGCATGTACCTAATATGTACAAATACTATCTATCAATTAAAAAGAAAGATTTCAAATAGACAAGATAATGTTACACTTCAACAAACTAGAAAAAGAAGAACAAACTAAACCCAGAGGAAGCAGAGAAACAACAGGGATCAGAGCAGAAATAAATGATATAGAGACTAGAAAAAGCAGAAAAGACCCAGGAAACTAATTATTTGGCTTTTTGCAAAGATAAATAAAATTGAAAAGCTTTATGTAGACTAACAGAGAAAAGGAAAAAAAAGACTCAAATAAAATAATAAATGAAAGAGGGAACAAGTCATACCACAGAAATGCAAACATGAGACAAGTATCCACAATTATACGCAAAATGTGAAATATCCTGTAAAAAATATGTTAATCCCTAGACACATACAAACTATGAAGACTTTTAGAAAATCTAAACAGACTAATGACGAGTAAGGAGGTTGAATCAGTAACTGAAAGTCTCCCATCAAAAAAAAAAAAAAAAAGCCCAGGACCAGATGGCTCCACTGTTGAATTCTACCAAATATGTTTAAAAGGGCTAATACTTAAACTCCTTCAAAAAAACTGAAGACGATGGAATACTTCCAAACTCATTTTACATGGCCAGAGTTGTACCCTGATTCCAGAGCCAGACAAGAACACTATACAAAAAGAAAACCACAGGCACTGATGAACATAGATACAAAAATCCTCAACAAGATACTAGCAAACTGAATTCAGGAGTGCATTAAAAGGATCATTCACCATGATCAATTAAGATTTATTCTATGGATGTAAAGATGGCTCAACATAAACAAATCTATAAATGGGAAACACTGTATTAACAGAATAAAGGACAAAAATCATATGATCATCTCAATAGATGCAGAAAAAGCAATTGACAAAATTCATCGTCCTTTATGATAAAAATGCATACAAATTAGGTATAGAAGAAATGTTCTCATCACTGTTTTCTTTGTTATTTTTTGGCGGGTCTATTGACTTCAAAATGACTAGTCTAGAATTTACAAGGTATCACAGAGCTTAACAGTATTGGTACATACCAAATATGATAATATTTGCACAGTACACTGTGGTAATTTGATGAGGCTGTTTGAGGTTAGAGGTGACTAGCCCATGGGCTTTGGCTGCCTCTAGGCCTGTTCTAGCCTCCACAGGGGATGAAAGAATCAATACCGCAAGCAATGTTAACCCATTGGATGCACAATCTTTGGCAAGATCTATATTAAGAAAGATCAATAATGAACAAAGATCACAGTGGTCTCACAGCTTATTCTGCCAAATCAGACTATTTCTTAAAGGAGTTGTGTTTTAGAGACTAATGTGACCAATATTTCCAAATCAAATAAAATAAATACATATAGAAGAAATATTCTACAAAGGTCATCCCCGGCCAGGCATGGTGGCTCCTAACACTTTGGGAGGCTGAGGTGGGTGGATCACCTGCGGTCAGGGGTTCTAGAACAGCCTGGCCAACATGGTGAAACCCCATCTCTACTAAAAAAATACAAAAAAAATTAGCCAGGTGTGGTGGCACATGCCTGTAATCCCAGGTACTTGGGAGGCTGAGGCAGGAGAATCGCTTGAACCTTGGAGGTGGCGAGCAACACTCCATCTCAAACACACACACACACACACACAAAGGTCATCCCATGTAAAATCCACTTTTGGATAGGCAGCTACTACCTGCAAGCTAAGCAAAGTGCTTAGTACACCTAAATTTCTGTTGACGTTAATGGAGTTCTGTTTTCATTGTTATAGGTCCCCTACTGACTGCCTTTTAAATCCATAGGTTCAAGTCAGAGTCTTCATTATGAAATTTCTGACTACAGAGTATTCACATTAAAGAGTTTTGCCCTTAAAAAGAGGGCTACGCCCTCTGGTGAGCAAATACAAACCATCAGGCTGTTCCTGAATCCAGAGCATTCTCCCCAAAACCATGAAGACAGTCCTAGTCTCATCAATCACTGTAAAACCAAATCATCTTGTTAGAGAGTAACATACAAATTAAATTTTACCTGCAGGATGTGTTTAAAAAACTGTTACAAATTCTGCCAAGCCTGTTATAAAGCAAAAAATAAAAATAAAAAAAAGAAGGGAGAAGAAGAGGAGCAGGAGAGGGGGAAAAGGGAGAACGGGAGGAACACAAACAACAACTTATTTTTCTGCTCTGCAAGGAAATTAGAAAACCCTTGTGGATATAATGCCTTTTTGCCCTTTGAGCTAATCACAGGTTCCTGGAAATTTCTTCTTTTTGGGGGATGCAAGTATCCTTCCTTTTCTGCTTGGAAGGAGTAATGCCCCTCCCATCTTCAGGTTGTTTGGAGTTAGTGTGCTTATATTGCACCCTCTGCCTCACCTGATCTCTCTGCTATTTGCTGAACCCTAAGCCCTGGGAAAGAGATGGCCACTGAAGCAGTGCAAATGTTGGAACTCAGAGGCAATATTGCTCCCATCATTGCTTGATCCCCTCTTTCTTCCCAAAGCTCTATTTTAGCGCCTCCTGCTCATGAGTCAAATGTTTTCTGCCTCTGAACCACATCATGCACCTGCCTGAAGCACTGCTTAGATTTTCTCTCTGGGGTACAGTTTGTGTGAAGCCCATTGAGTTGAAAGTCCTTCAGCATTTGCTCTTTCCGACACCTAGGAGGCAGAGCCGCAGCAGACCGTTTTGTATTCTAGCCGCTAAATGTTAGAAAGTCAGATGGAGACAGAAAGTTCAAGGCCTGGCCACATTAAGCTTTGGTATCACAGTGCTGCACACTTCGCCTATCATTTGTGAGGCAGGAACACTGGCTTTAGAAACATTTTACATTTAGGACATAAGAACAGCCAAATCTTCTAAGTCTTCAATTTTATTCATTCACCAGACCAAAATCATAAACTCTGTCACAAAAAAAAAAAAAAAAAAAAAAATCACTTGTTCTGAAGCACTGTCCAAGTGAAAGGGCAGTTTTGTTATGTTTACAAGGAGACTGAACATGGATTCATTCTGCTACTAGAATACAAATGTGAGCAAAAGGGTGTGGGATAGTATGTCCAGTTCATTGTTTTGTGAAAAGGCTACAGGGATGATAACACAAGTGGGAATTCAGCTCTGATATGGTAAAACATTTATCCTGAAATCCAAAATGTAGAAACTCAAATAACAAGATTTTTCTCCAAGCCTCATAAAATGTTAATTCAGGGAGAAATACCCGGACCTTCTGGAAAGAGTCTAGGCTTTAGATTACCACGGAGTGGAGAACTGGAGGTCAATACAGGCTCAGCTACTTTCTAGCTGTAGAAACTTGAGGACTTATTTCACTCTCTCTGAGCTTAAGTTTCCTTAGCAGCAACATGTGGCTAATTCCACCTGACCTTCAGGACTATTGAGAAATCCATTAAGTGTATACTATGTGTGCCTAACTATGACCTTAAGCACCAAAAATTTCTTAATAATATGTCTTATGAAAATCAAACACAGTGTTTTCTCCTGATGATGTAGTGCTTGGTGTCCTGAATGCATTAACAAAATCTAAAGCCTTCCTGAAAGCCAGATCTTTGCAAATCTTGATATACTAAATGTGTTCTTGCTTAATTCATTTATTTACTTAATAGAAACTTGATTGCTCCCCAGGTTTTCAGCATCTAGCTGAGAACAGTTTAGCGGATGATCAATCCGCTCAATCTATACATTACTTCAAGTATTTCAAAAATGTATGGCAAGATTTTTGAGAAGTTATAAAAATCAACATAAAGGTTCTCTTTTAGTAAAAATTACAATCATGAATATAGCTTATAGAGTTTTGAGTCTGATCATTTTTAAGCCAAATTCACATATTTTGAGATCATTTTAATACTTTAAAGAGAATATATTAAGAATTAAAATTTGCTCAAATATTCTATGTGCATAAAGGAAATTTAGACAGGTTTTCTATAATGATTGGAGGAAAAAAACGGCTCTACCCTCCAGTGGGTGGAGCCCTGAGGAACAGCTCAGCTCCAGGCAATTAAGCACTTACGGACTGAAAAGGAAACTTTGGAAACTCATTAATTTTTATTAGTAAAACCAAAGGGATATTTCACAATAAAATGGTAGGCTGTTGTAGACTCACAGCCAGGAAGTTTTAAGGCTTTGCTCTAAACTCCTTGACATCACAGGGACTTTGCCAGTCTTACTTTCAAGGTAAACATTTCAGAACCCTCAGCTCTAGTTACAATCCCCCATTAGTAAAAGGCCATCTTCTCTGAGAGTCTTTTAAACTATGCATTTTTAACTACTCATTCTGCTCTGACATTATGTCTTTGCAATTCATATTTCCCATTCAGTCAATCTGTCCGAGGTGCCCCTACTCCCAGATCAGCCAAAGTTTCTAAAATTATCCATCTCTCTCAGGAAAGTTTGGGTACAGAACCATTTATCTGCCAGTGCATGTTTGTGTGGAACCTGTATTAATTGCCCAAGGGAGCTCCATTGAACCCCTTAGAGTTGTAAATTTTATGCTTACAAGAATTTCCTTCTCCTCCCTAATTGTACATGCTAGCTCATCTCTTCTTTCTTACTGCCAACACTGATGTCTTAGCTTTGACTCTATTTAGAGCTGGAAGAGAATGGCATGGAAATAAATTCAATTCTTGTCTCAGTTTTCCTAACACATTAAGTCTGTCACCCCCTTTTAGTGTGTGTTCAATCAGAATGTCTTAGGTCTCCATTTCTAATTGTTCGGGCAATGTATCCTCTAGTGCCTTCTACCCTTAGGTTATTGAAGGAATGGAAAGTTTCTCTCCCCTGAGATCTGGGGCAACATTGTAATGATGGACAATGAAATTTGTGAGGATAGCCCAGAGTTGAACAATTTATGTGAGATAAAAATAGAGAACTTTGTAGTGTTTCTTTATCTGACAGAGAGGAGCAATCACTATTAATAAAGTTTACTTGTATGAATTATTCAAGGCTTTAATGAAACATTAGAAACTTAGAGAGACATAATACTGTGGATTATACAGCTGGCCTTGGAGCCAATTGAGTAAGCTTTATAGTAAATGTAAGCCCATGGGCTAGCTGAATAACCTCTATATAAACCTTTTTTTTTTCTTCATTTATAATATGGGGATAATAATTCCTATTAAACCTTGTTTCAGTGTTGCTGTGGGAATCAAATGAAAATGCATTAAAATGTGAATTGAAATGTGAAAAGCATAACCAAATGGCAATTCAATAATACCATTAGATCCTGAAATTTGTCATGTTAAAAGAGGAATATGTATCACCAGAAAGAGCAGCTTTCCTTTAGAAAAATTAATTACTCTTCAATCAGATAGAGACTTACATCATTGTGGATGAGCAAGAAAGATGCATTGAATTGAAATCCATGTCAGTGGTAAATAAATTCAAAACTCATTTAATAGTTATATGAATAGGAGAGAGTGGTGTGGCTTCTCAAAGTCTCAGAGTTTTTATTTTTCATAAAATTAAGATTACTTGAGTATGTACTTTATAAAATTGTGAGAACTAAGTGAATTTTATAGAATGAATGTTTGTGCCCCACCCCCCCAAATTCATATACTGAAAGCTAATCCCCATGGTGATATTAGAAGGTGGGGTCTTTGGAAGGTGATTAGGTCATGATAGCAGAGTCTTCATCAGTTAGATTAGTGCCCTTATAAAAGAGTCCCAAGGAGCTTGTTCACCCCTTCTGCCATGTGAGGGCACATAGAAGTTGCCATCTGTGAGCAATGGACCCTCATCAAACACTAAATCTGTTAGTGCCTTGATCTCAGACTTCCTAACATCCAGAACTAGCTTCCAGAACAATACATTCCTATTGTTTATAAATTATCCACTCTGAGGTACTTTGTTGTAGCAGCCTGAACAGATCAAGGCAGTGAACTAACACATGCTTGACACAGTGCCTGACACATAGTACTCAAATAATAATTTGATATAATGCCAATTTGGCCACAGGAAGGAGACCATATAATTTAAAATACTTCACTGAAAAGAAAACATATTAAACCTTCAAACATGATTAAATTGCTTATTGGTTTGAAGCATGGTTAAAACAATTAGCTCCATGATTATTGGATTCAGTGTACTTTTTTTCCTTCCTCTAGCCAATAAAGTCATTAAATGGATAATTATTTTCCCAATGCACTTACTTTTTTGTGTGTTTGTGTCAGACATTGAAAGTATAAAATTTAATAAAATTTGCCTCCTAATGTGGGATAATTAAAGGTTTCAGTGTAATTATAGTATCTGAACTAAGCATCTTATTTTTTTGTTCTTAATATCAGTTTTTAAAATTGAGATATAATTCATATAAGATAGTGGGTTGAATAGTGTATCTCCAAAATTCATGTCCACTTGAATCTCAGAATGTGACCTTATTTGGAAATAATCATTTGCGTATTTAAATAAATATGTGAAGATAAAATTATCCTGTATTTAGAGTGGGTCCTAAGTCCAGTGACTGATACCTTTTTAACAGAAAGGAGAAGGATGTTTGTTTGATGCACACAGTGATGATACCATATGAAAATGGAAGCAGAGACTGGTGTCATGCTGCCAAAAGATATGGAAAACCAGGAGTCACCATAGGATGAAAGAGGCAAAGAAGGATTCTCCTATACTTTCAGAGCAAGTAAGGCCCTGACAACATTATGATTTTGACCTTCTGGACTTCAGAACTGTAGGAAAATGAATTTCTGTTATCTTAAGCCACTAAGTTGTGGTAAAAAGTTATGGCAACCCTAAAAAAATCTAATACATATTTTAGTACTGGGAAATGGGTTGCTGCTATAACAAATACCCACAAATATGTAAGTGGCTTTGGGATTGGGAAATAGATAGAAAGTGGAAGCATTTTTGGATGCATGATGAAAAGAGCCTAGATTGCATTGAAGAGAATGTTGACAAAACTATAGATAATATAGGCAGTACTGGTGAAGGCTCAGATGGGAATGAGGAGTATGGTAGGGAAAGCTGTTGTCTTAGAGAAAACACATATCATTGTAAACAAAATCATAGAAATATAAAGGTTAAAGGTATTTCTGGTGAGGTCAGACAGAAATGAGAAACATGTTATTGGACACTGGAGGAAAGGAGATTCTTGTTATAAAGTGAGAGAAAACTTGGCTTAATTACATTGTACAGTTGGGTGGAAAGCAGAACTTGTAAGTGATACAATTGTATATATAGCTGAGGAGATTTCCAAGCAAGGTGTGGTCTGATTTCTCCTTTCTGTTTAGAGTAAAATGTGAAAAGGAAGAGATAAATTGAGGAAGGAACTGTTAAGCAAAAAGGAACCATCAATTTGAGACTTGTGAGTTCCTTGGTCTATCCAGATTTCAAAGGATGCTAAATTAGGAAATGTACTGTTGAGAAAGCATACTCTGGGGAGAATGCCAAGAATGTGGCTGGACAGCTGTCTTAGTCTGTTTTCTGCTGCTATAACAGAATACCACAGACTGGGTAAGTTATAAACAACAGAACTTTATTTGGCTTATAACTCTGAAGGCTGGGAAGCTCAGGAGCACGGTACCAGCATCTGGTGAGGGTCATCCTATGGCAGAAGGAAAAAGGCAGAAGCTTGCATGCTAAACAGAAAAAGCAAAATGGGACCTGAAATATTCTTTTTGTAGAGAGTCTACTCCTGCAATAATTAACCCCCTTCTGAGACAAAGGCATCAATCCTTTCCTGAGAGTGGAACCCTCATGGCCTAATCACCTCTTAAAGGAACCATCTCTCTTAATACTACTATAAAGACCATTATCTTTTCAACACATGAACTTTTGGAAGACACACCCAAACCATAGCAACAGCTTTTTGTTGAAAGATTAGTTGTATCACTCATGGATCCAATCAACCATTTTAGCAGAAAGCAGAAATACAGATGGGATTATTCAGAAAGGATCACTGGAAAACCATTTTGTTGAATTGTGTTTGTCTTCTTAACATATACATGAGGATCGGTTATTGAGAACATTATCCTGGGGGAAGCGGGAACACAAGGTGCACCTGGACTGACAGAGACAGAGCTAAAATAACAAATGAAGGTAATTAGACTTTCAAAATTCTATAGGTAGAAAGCAGGCTGATAGAACTACTCAGCTGCCACATATATTTGGAATCAGGTCTCCTTTTTCTTGAAAAGGAGACCTGATTACAAAGATAAAGCCTTGGGCTCAGAGAATGAGGCTGCCACCACCACAGATTCAGAGGAAAGAGCATTAAGCCACAGAGGATTATTTTCAGGCTCTGAAACATAATAAAATTTGCTCTGTTAGGTTTCAGTCTTGCTTGGAACCAGTGACCCTTACTACTTCCAATATCTCCCTTTTGGAGTGGAAATGTCTATCATATAACCATCCAACCATTGTATTTTGGAAGCAGAAAAGTTGTTTTCTAATTTTAAGAACTGGAGATAGAGAGGGATTTTGTCCCAAGATGGATCATACACAAAGTGGAACCAATACCTGATTCAGATGAATTAGACAATGAGATTTGGAAATTAGTTAGCAGATGATGTTATATCAGATTTAGGAGTTAGAGTTGATGCTGGAATTAGTTAAGACTATTCAGGATATTGAGACAGGGTGAATGTGGCTTGCACATAGAAAAGTAAAGAATTTAGGAAGACAGAGGGCAACTTAGAGTGAGTTGAATAACATCTCCTCAAAATTCATGTTCATCCAGAATCTCAGGATGTAACTTTATTTGGAAATAGGATATTTACAGATTTAGGTAAGAATCTCATGATAAACTATTCTAGATTATGGTGCACTCTAACTTTTGGTTTTGAATTTCTGGATTTAAGAACTGTGAGAAAATAAATTTCTGTTGTTTTAAGCCACCAAGTTGTATTAAGTCATGATATGGTTTGGCTGTGTCCTCACCCAAAAATCATCTTGAATTCTAACTCCCACAATTCCCACATGTCAAGGGAGAAACCAAATGGGAGGTGATTGAATTATGGGGGCAGGTCTTTCCTATGCTGTTCTTGTGATAATGAGTCTCACAAGATCTGATGGTTTTAAAAATGGGAGTTTCCCTACACAAGCTCTCTTTTTGCCTGTTGCCATTCATATAAGATGTGACTTGCTCCTCCTTGCCTTCCACCATGATTGTGAGGCTTCCCCAGCCACGTGAAACTGTAAGTCCATGAAACGTTTTTCTCTTGCAAATTACCAGTCTCGGATATGTCTTTATCAGCAGTGTGAAAATGCACTAATACAATAAATTGGTACTGAGAGTTGGGTGCTGTTGGAAAGATACCCAAAAATGTGGAAGCAATTTTGGAACTGGATAACAGGAAAAGGTTGGAACGGTTTGGAGGGCTCAGAAGACAGGAAAATGTAGGAAAGTTTGGAACTTCCTAGAGACTTGTTGAATGGCTTTGACAAAAATGATGAGAGTGATATGAACTATAAAGCCCAGACTGAGGAGGTCCTAGATGGAGATCTGGAACTTGTTGAGAACTGGAACAAAGGTGACTCTTACGTTTTAGCAAAGAGACTGGTGGCATTTGCCCCTGCCTTAGAGATTTGTGGAACTTTGAACTTGTGAGAGGTAATTTAGGGGATCTGGTGAAGAAATGTATAAATAGCAAAGCATTCAAGAAGTGACTTGGGCGTTGTTAAAGACATTCAGTTTTAAAAGGGAAGCAGAGCATAAAAATTTGAAAAATTTGTAGCCTGAAAACGTGATAAAAAAGAAAATCTCATTTTCTAAGGAGAAATTCAAGCCAGCTGCAGAAATTTGCATTACTAATGAGGAGCCAAATGTTAATCCCCAAGACAATGGGGAAAATGTCCCCAGGGCATGTCAGATGTCTCATAGCAGCCCCTCCCATCACAGGCCCAGGGACACAGGAGGAAAAAATAGTTTTGTAGGCCAGGCCCAGAGTCCCCATGCTGTGTGCAGCCTAGGGACTTGGTGCCCTATGTCCCAGCTGCTCCAGTTGTGGCTGAAAGGGGCCAACATAGAGCTCAGGCCATGGCTTCAGAGGGTGTAAGCCCCAAGCCTTGGCAGCTTCCACACGTTGTGTTGAGCCTGTGAGTCCACAGAAGAATTGGGGTTTGGGAACCTCTGCCTAGATTTCAGAAGATGTATGGAAACACCTACATGCCCAGGAAGAAGTTTGCTTCAAGGGTGGGGCCCTCATGGAGAACCTCTGCTAGGAGGGAAATGTGGGGTTGGAGCCCCCACACAGAGTCCCTACTGGGGCACCACCTAGTGGAACTGTGAGAAGAGGGCCACTGTCCTCCAGACCCCAGAATTGTAGATCCACTGACAGCTTGCACCATTTATCTGGAAAAGCTGCAGATACTCAACACCAGCCCATGAAAGCAACTGGGTGGGAGGCTGCACCCTGCAAAGCCACAGGGGCAGAACTATCCAAGATCATGGGAACTCACCTCTTGCATAAGCATGACCTGGATGTGAGACATAGAGTCAAAGGAGATCATTTTGGAGCTTTAAGATTTGACTGCCTGCTGGATTTTGGACATTTGTGGGGCCTATAGCCCCTTTGTTTTGGCCAATTTCTCCCATTTGGAATTGCTGTATTTACTCAATGCCCATACCCCCAGTGTATCTAGGAGGTAACTAACTTGCTTTTGATTTTACAGGCTCATAGGAGAAAGGGACTTGCCTTGTCTCAGATGAGACATTGCACTGTGGACTGTTGAGTTAATGCTGAAATGAGCTAAGACTTTTGGGGACTATTGGGAAGGCATGATTTGTTTTGAAATGCAAGAACATGAGATTTGGGAGGCGCTGAGGCAGAATGATATGGTTTGGCTGTGTCCCCCCTGCCCAAATCTCACCTTGAATTGTAACTCCCACAATTCCCACATGTCATGGGAGGACCCTGGTGATTGAATTATGGGGGCGGGTCTTTCCTGTGTTGTTCTTGTGATAGTGAATGAGTCTCATGAGATCTGATGGTTTTAAAAATGGGAGTTTCCCTGCACAAGCTCTATTTTGGCCTCCTGCCATCCATGTAAGATGTGACTTACTCCTTCTTGCCTTCTGCCATGATTGCGAGGCTTCCCTAGCCACATAGAACTGTAAGTGTACCCTTTCTCTTATAAATTGCCCACTCTAAGGTGTGTCTTTATCATCAGTGTGAAAACAGACTAATACAATTGGTTATGGCACCTCTAGGAAACAAATACATATTCCAAAATATTTACCCTTTTGAAGTGTACAATTCAGATGGTTTTGGTATATTCATGCACAAACATGTGCACTAATTCCAAAATGTCTTCATCACACCTCCCATCAACACATACACACACAAGTATTCTACCTTTGCTCTTCTTTCTTAAATTTATTTTCACAATTCTGTGTTCCTTGAATTTCCATGCGAATATTAGGAACAGTTTGTCAGTTTTTGCAAAAAGAAGGTATTTGATATTTTGATGCAGTTTAAATTGAGTCTGCAGATTAATTTGGGGAGCATTATTATTTGAACAATATTAAATCTTTTAATTCATGAAGATGGGTTTCCTTTTTTTTTCATTTAGTTCTTAATTTCCTTTAATGACATTTTGTGCCTTTTGGTTTAACAGTTTTGGATTTCATTTAAAAATTAACTTCTAATTATTGTATTTATTTATTTTGAAACTGAGTTTCACTCTTGTCATCCAGGCTGGAGTGCTGTGGCACAGTTTTGTCTCACTGCAACCTCTGCCTCCTGGGTTCAAGTGATTCTCCCCACTCAGCCTCCCTAGTGGCTGGGATTACAGTCATACGCCACCATGCCCAACTAATTTTTGTATCTTTAGTAGAGATGGGGATTCACCATGTTGGCCAGGCTGGTCTCAAACTCCTGACCTCAAATGATCTCCCCACTTTGGTCTTCCTAAGTGCTGGGATTACAGGTGTGGGCCACCATGCCCCACCTATTGTATTTATTTTACTATTATAAAAGCTGCTGTTTCAAATGGTATTGTTTTCTTAATTTCATTTTTGGCATGTTTTTCTGCTAGTGCATAGAAATAAAATATATTTTTGTATCTTACAACCTCTCTAAACTTTTTAACCTCTAATAGACTTTTGTTGTTTTCTTTAGATTTTCTTTAAATAGGTTCACAGTCTGCAAACAGAGAGTTTTGGTTCTTCTTTCCAAATATGGGTGCCATCATCTTATTCTTTATTTCAAGGCAAAGCTTTCAATCTTTCACCATTAGCTACAAGGTTAGATATGAGATTTGTGTGGATGCCCTTGCTTAGCTTTAAACATTTTCCTTTTATTTCTAGTTTTTTGAGTGCTTTTATCATAAAAGGGTAAGTTTTATCAATTTTTTTTCTGCATCTATTGGTCATTTTTTCCTTTATAAGTACAGTACATTTCATTGATAGTTTTTTATGTTAAACCTTGCATTCCTGGGATAAATTCTACTTGGCCAAAGTGCAAAATCACTTTTGTATATTCCTAAATTCAGCTTATTACTTTCTTGAGAATTTTGTGTATATATCATAAGAGATATTGGCCTATAGTTTTTTTCTTCCATTCTTGTGATGTCTTTGTCTATTTTCAGTAGTAGCATAATAATGGCTACATAAGATGTGTTGGAAAATGCCCCATAATTTTCCATTTTTTGAAAAACTTTGTTAAGGATTGAGATTAGTTGCTTTTTAAATGTTGGATAGAATTCACAGATGATATCATCTGATTCTTGGTTTCCCCTTGTGGAAAATGTTTGACTATTAATTCAATCTATTTTTATATAGGTCTATTCAGATTGTTTACTTCTTGGGTTGGTTGAGCAGCTTGTATCTTTCTAGAAATTTGTCCATTTCACATGGGTTGTATATTTTGTTGACCCTTTTATCTGAATATTTGTCTTTGTTTCTATCAACAATTTTTGTCTTATATAGTAACTATATTTTACTTACAGTTGTATAGTGTATGTTTTTCTATCCTTTTACATTCAGTCTTTTGTGTCTTTGAGTCTAAAGTGTGTTTTGTGTAGACTACATAATTAAATTATACTTTTAAAAATATCAATTCTGCCTACTTTGCTTTTTGGAGCATTTAATCCATTTCGATCTAATATAATTACTGATAAGGTATGATTTACAGATGCTATTTTGCTATTTTTCTACGTTTATCTTATACCTTGTTATCCTGTTTTTTCTGTTATCACCTTCTTTCAAGGGTTTTCTTTTTTCCAGTGTAGTATTTTAATTTCGTTATTGCTTACCTTAGTGTGTTATTTTCTTAGAAATAACCTAGGGATTAAAATAACATCTTTTATTATAACAACCTAATTTAAATTTATGCCAAATTAATTCCAATAGTATACAAAAACTTTGCTCTTATGTAACATCATTACTTAATTCCATTTTCCTTTTATCATCACACAACTTAAATCTTTGTGTTTTAATCTTAGAAACAAATTTTTTAAGTTATTGCTTTTTTCAGTCACCTTTTAAATAAGATAGAAACACACACACAGTGTTGCAAACAAAAAAGCACTTATACTTTCTTTAAATTTACAGATGTAGTTACCTGTATGGTGCTATTCATTCCTGTGCATGCAAGTTATTGTCTCGTGTCTCTTTCTTTCAGCCTGAACATTCCCTTTATCATTTCTTTTGGGGAAGGTATGCTAACGAATAGTTCTTTGAATTTTGATTTTCTGGGAATGTCTTAATTTTTCCTTCATTGTTGAATAGATTTGCTGAACATTAAATTCTTGGCTGACAATATTCTTTATTTTAGTACCTTGAATATGCCATCCCAGTGCCTGTCTCCAGGGTTTCTGTTGAGAAATAATCTAGTAATCTTACCGAAAATGACCCATATATAATAGATTGCCTAACTCTTGCCAATTTGAAGATTTGAATTTGTCATCGTCTTTTTTTTTTTTGAGGGGGAGACAGAGTCTCGCTGGAGTGCAGTGGCGCGATCTTGGCTCACTGCAAGCTCCGCCTCCTGGATTCACTCCATTCTCCTGCCTCAGCCTCCCGAGAAGCTGGGACTACAGGCACCTGCCACCACACCCAGCTAATTTTTTGTATTTTTAGTAGAGACGGGGTTTCACTGTGTTAGCCAGGATGGTCTCGATCTCCTGACCTCGTGATCCGCCTGCCTCAGCCTCCCAAAGTGCTGGGATTACAGGCGTGAGCCACCGCGCCCGGCCTGTCCTTGTCTTTTGACGTTATAGTATGATGTGTCTGCATGCTGATTACATTTTGTGTTCTGCTTAGGGCTTTTTGTGCTACTTGGATCTGTAGATTAATGTTTTTAAATTAATTCTATGGAGTTTTCAACCATTTCTTCAAATATCCTTTTGGATTTTTATTCTCCTCTACTTCTGGATCTGCCATTCTAAGTATGTTGGTATACTTGACGGTGACTCACAGGATTCTGAGGCTGTGTTTATTTTTATTCACTTTTTTCTTTCTCAAATGAGATATGTCAATTAACATACATTCAAGATCATTCATTTTTTATTCTGCCGTCTCAAATCTGCTATTGAGCCACTCTAGTGAAATTTTTGTTTAAGGTTATTAGATAATTCTGCTCCAGAATTTTTATGTGGTTTTAAAAAAATCAATTTTATGGCTTGATTGTTATTCTGTATTTGGTGAGACATTTTTCTCATACTTTAACATATGCTCCATTTGCTTATTTGGAAGTTTAAAAAAATAATTGATTTAAAATTTCTATTAACTCTATAACATGGGTTTTGTCAGGGACAGTTTCTATTCACGATTTTTCTTCCTGTGCATGGGCCATACTTTCTTATTTCTTTTAATTTTTGTTATTTTATGTTGAAAATTGGGCATTTTAGCCTCCCGAGTAGCTGGGACTACAGGCAGGAGAACGGCGTGAACCCGGGAGGCAGAGCTTGCAGTGAGCGGAGACTACGCCACTGCACTCCAGCGTGGGCGACACAGCGAGACTCCATCTCAAAAAAAAAAAAAAAAAAAAAAAAAGATAATTGGGCATTTTAAGTAATAAACTTTTGCAACTTTGCAAATTGGATCCCTCTCCTCACCAAGGCTTGTTATTGTTGCCGTTTATTGTTGTTACTATTGTTAGTTTTGTTTAACCATAAAAAAGGAAATCTTACCATTTCAACAACACAGATGAAGTGGGAGGTCATTGTCAGTGAAATAAAGACAAATAGTGTCTCACTTATTTATATGAAATCTTAAAAAGTTGAACAAAAACAGAATAGACATAGTGAAACCCTGTCTGTACTGAAAATACAAAAATTAGCTGGGCATGGTGGCGTGTGCCTGTAATCCCAGCTCCCCATTAGGCTGAGGCAGGAGAATCGCTGGAAACCAGGGGGCAGAGGCTGCAGTGAGCCAAGATTGTGCCACTGCACTCCAGCCTGTCCAAGACTCCATCTTTAAAAAAATTTTAAAAAAGATTTTTTTCGTTTGTAGTTTTTGGTTTGTTTATTGAGTTTTCAAAACTAATTCTGTAAAATCACTAATCTTCATTATGTGTGACCAATTAAGTTTCTGCTCAGTTTACTAGTCAAGAAGAGACTGGACAAAGATTTTCATAAATACCTTGAACTTATAAGTCCTCTAGCTTTTGCTGATGGGGTTCTATTTGTGTACTGGAGTGTGTTTTTATGCATTCAGAGTGTTTACAGCTCTGTCTTAGCATTTATTTCTGGTTGGTACAGAATCTCAAGATCAGCCACAGCTGAGAAATTAGGGTCTTTTAAGTCTTTTTCTGGGTACACACACATTCCTGAAGATGCAGGTGGTCTTCTAGATTCCCAGGAGCAGATCAAAGATTTACAAAGCTTCCTATGGACATTTCATATTCCAAAATTTTCATTAATTTGTTTTTTGCTTAGTTTTTAATTGTCCCATTTGTTTCAACTGCTTCAGGAAGCTGGGATGTTAAACAATTGTTGACCAACTGCCCAAAATGAGCAAGTTTTGAGTCAGGACAATAACAGAAAATCCCTGTCGGTGGAGGTTTCCAGGAAACCACAGGATGGGTTGGTTAAGTACCACTGTTTGGGGATGGCACTCTTTGTTATCTCCAAACTTGTTCTCCCCCTTCAGTGGCTGCTTGTCTACTGATTTTTATTTTTTAATTTTTTTTTCTTGAGACAGAGTCCTGCTCAGGCACCCAGGCTGGAGTGCAGTGGCGCAATCTTGGCTCATTGCAACCTCTGCCTCCCTGGTTCAAGCCATTCTCTTGCCTTAGCCTCTCAAGTAGTTGGGATTACAGGCACCTGCCATCGTGCCCAGCTCATTTTTGTATTTTTAGTAGAGACGGGGTTTCACCATGTTGGCCAGGCTGGTCTTGAACTCCTGACTTCAGGCAATCCACCCACCCCTGCCTCCCAAAGTGCTGGGATTACAGGCATGAGCCACTGTGCCCGGCTGTCTACTGATCTTCAAGGCTGCAGTGACTGTGTGGTTATTGACTTTCAAGGCTTCTACGGAATGAAAAGCGGGTGTGAGCATGTTAAAATGTTGGAAGCTCACTGTTCTCACTGTTCTTACAGAGATTGGGTCCCTTTTTAAAATAAACCTCCCTTGAATTCTTGCGTGGGCTGTTAATTCTGAGTAATGAAAAAGTTGATCTTGACTTTTTGCCATTGTTCTTACTGTTTTCATGGAGTTTTTAGAGGTCCTTTTCTCATTCCATTGCTGTCAATGTTACATGGTTAGTTACTTTTGTATTTGAGGCTGTTGTGTATCTGTTAAAGTTTTGTGGTTGCAATTAACAGAAATTCAACCTGGCTTAAGTAGTAACACGATGTTTAAGAGGGATTTGGAGGATTTTACAGAGTAAAAAGGATAGCTGAAGCACCATGTCTTGCAAGGACACAAATACTGATGGTTACACAATGTAACCAGAAGAAATTCTCACAAACACTAGTAAGGAGGGGACTGGCCTAGGGAAATTTTTCTGAAAGCTGCATTTCAATTGCACTTTCAAAATATTGAAAGAAAAAATATACATCCTCTAAATAAACGAAAACGAAAGGCTGATGGAGATTTGAAAGGATCCAGATACCCCAAACCATCCTCTGGAAGCCAACAAGTATCCACGTAACAGGAACTAATTGAAATTTTTCCCAGCATTCTGTGTCTGGGTGTACTGACTCCAACAATTTATAATCTTTTTTATCCTCAAAATAAGACTTAAAGTTCTAACATAAAACATTCAATTGACCTACTATGGAAATAAGAAGTAAGACCACTGGGGACTAATAATTTAAGGTTGAGACACCAAAAGAAAAAATAATGGGTTCCGGGTGAGAAAGAACAGTATATATATCCACTGTATGACATAAATGTAGATTTACAAAGATTCCCATCTAAGTAAAAACAACATCACAATTTAAACTTTTCACAATGATCAAATTATACTTTCTCTTATTTTATTCATCGTTCACACAGAAGCTAAATTGATCTTTAACAGAAACTTCCATCACTCTAATCACACATTTAAAATAATTCCATAACTTCCCATTTTATTAGGACAAAGTCCTACATCATCTAGCCTCTATCTTCTTCACCATCCTTGTCCTTTTCTTACCTCTCTTTCTTCCTAATAGCATTGCTGTTTGGTTGAACCCATCTTGTTCCCACATCAAGCTTTCACATCTGCTATTTTCTCTTTCTGGAATGTTCACCTACACCCTCTTTTCAGGAGTCATTTTCTCCTTCTCTTACTAATTTTATTAAGCTTAAATATCAATCCATTAAAGGATAATATTTGATTACCTATATTTATTTATTTTCCTTCTGGACCCCATGTTTTTCTTTCATATATTACATCTGTAATTTATTTGTTATGTGTTTATTTCATATCTTATCCACCAGGGAAACAGATCCATTCTGTTTTATTCACCATTACATATGCATGTTTGTGGCATGCCAAGCACATATGGACCAAATATTTCTTAATGAGATAAATTAATCTGCTTGTATACCCAAACTTACACAGACATGAAACATGCCTTTCATAGAATGTTTAGAATCAATAAGACTGTATACCTAAATATACTGACAGAATTTTGTTGAAAATGAAACAGATGAAAATAGTATTAACTAAAAGTAAATTTTTGTACTTTTTCTGTTTTATGTGTTGTGACTACTCAGAAATTTAAAAAATAACATTGACAGAGTTGCATTCTGCATTCGAATGAGATTTTCTTTCCTTGAAAGAAGCATCATTTCTGTATATTGTGCTTCCAGTGATGGTATAATTGTCTAATTGGTAATTCCTATTTTTGTTAATACCAAAGCAAATTTGCAAGACAAAAAGAATAGTCATATTATCTCATTTCATACTGGATTTCAGTCCAAAATTAGAAATTCTTCCAGCTCAGATTGAGGATAGGATCCCACCATGATTATATCTTCTCTTTGTAATCCCTTCTATGTTTCTTTATTCACAGATATTCACAAATAAGTAGAAATCATTAAGCATTTGAGAAGAGAAAAAAAGACTTGAAAGAGAATGCCAACAATGAAGGAATTAAACAAATGACCCCTGAGGGAAACAGACAAATGAGTAAACAAAAGCAAATGTTTAAGAACGTATTCATGAGGTATTACTTGAGCCTAGGAGTTCTAGACTAGCTGGGGCATCATAGTGAGACTCCATCGCTACAAAAGAAAAATTAGCCAGGCATGGTGGAGCACATCTGTAGTCCTAGCTCATCAGAAGCCTGAGGTGTGAGGACCACTTGAGCCCAGTAGGTCAAGGCTGCAATGAGCCATGACAGAGCCACTGCACTCCAGCCTGGGCAATAGGGCAAGACCTTGTCTCAAAAAAAAAAAAAAAAAAAAAATACAAAAACCCACAAAAAACAAAACAAAAACAATGTACTCGTGAACAGAACAAGAATGTTTTAAATGAAGCAATCTGAGAATAAAAAATGCTATATATGTGTACATATAAATGCATATAACATAATTATACAATGTGTTATATGTTAACTCTAAAATACATACTTGACAAATTGCTTACACTTTTAAGTAGTTAATCTGAATTACAAAAAGGACATGAACAAAAATAAAAATATTTGCAAAAATGGAATTGAAATAAATCTCCATAATATAGAAAAACGAAAGGACAAAACAACAGAAAAAGATAGAAAAGCAAGCTTACTGAGAAGGTATTATACATACAGGTTCTTAGCCTAATCCTAGTTAAGAGTTCCAGGATGAAAAAGCAGAAACAGAAAGGAGGACAGAATCAAAGAAACAATGGATATGAGGGAAAATATTGTCAGATTTGAAGTATCTATGTTATTTGAAACAACTCCCTCAAACCTAGGCATTCATTTATGATTTTTCACAACCACAAGGAAAAATAGAATATTATAACTGTATCTTTTAAATGGAAAACACTATATTTTATCCAGACTATCAGACTTCTTATCAGGAATGCTGGATCTACAGAATAATTACATTATCAAACACATTTTCATAGATTTCTATATCCAGTCAAACTTCCTATAGGCATATCATCTGGGAACAAATGTAAAATGAGTCTGGTCACATGAGTAGAAGAAAGCTTGGCAACTAAACCTGGTCCAGAAACAAGACAATCTATCAGTTACTGGCACTCAGTAGTTTTCTTTCAGCAGTAACTTTTAACAATATTAGGTTACATTTTCTTCATTCTATTTAGTTCTGTAATGAATGGACATTGAAGTTTTAAATTGATATTAGTTTTAGAATATGTGGTTTTAGAATCAAACTATAGACACAATCAAAAACCCAATTATAGATATAGAGGAAAATGTAATGTCATAACTCTTGATGCAAAATAAAATGGCTAAGAAAATGGGAAAAAATTAATAAGAATATTAGTAAAAGAACATTAGGTGCCCCAATTTCACATCTTTCATACAGGAAGTGCAACAGATTCTGTCTAAAGTTGACAGAAGTTCTTATGTGTGCAGAAATAATGATTTAAACTAATTTTAATGATGTCAACTAAACAACAAATGAAATACTTATTGACACAAGTACTAACAATTGGGCAGTAAAATTGGGAAGAATAGGTGTTTAATGGTACAATACAATGCCTCCTAATTTTCATTGTTATTTTTAAACTTCTGTCTACTGGTAATATATCATGAAACAGATCTAAGTTCACTTTTTAAAGACAAACAATATCCACATAAAATCAAAACAAAAAGCTGTTAACACTGTCTATAGGGAGTTACACTGGTGTTAGGTTGGGGGAAGAGGCTTTTAGTTTTCATTTCTATTTTTGTTGGGCAGGTTATATTTTTACCCAGGTGCGTATATTAGTTCTCTAATATAATTCCAGGTTAAAAAGATGATCTTTTATAATTATGTATCCTGGGCTAATCTCTTAATATATTTATCATTATTGAACCTGAATGAATTGGCAGTGGTTCTAATAAACAAATTTGCTCTCATAGAATAAAAATTCAGCATTATAGAATATTAAAATATTGTGAATATCAGGCTTAGGATCTTAGCCTTTCAAGATCCTAAGGGTAAGGTAGAATGAGACTACAAAATCTTAGGCTATGCGCTCATAGTGTTAGTGGCACCTAAAGGGAGCACACATTTTCAACCAACTCTAATGAGACCTTCGTGGAGAATGCTGGTTTTCATATTGCAGCGTCTTCTTCCATTTCCATTCTTCTTCCAAATATGCCTTCAACTAATCCCAAGAAAACTAAAGCAACCATGGATTCATAAGTGAGGTTTTGATAATTACCTTCACCAAATCCTCCATCGCTTCCTTTTATATGTCACAAAGTTGCCACATTCTGTATTTCCCTTTGCTACATCATCTTATGCAGCAAATAGAAGGCTATGCTAAATAAACAGAGCAAAAACACAATCTGTATAAAAATTGAAAGCCATTTAGCCTTATAGAAGAAATAATCCAACTCTGGTACCTGTATTGAGAAAATAGAAGTAAGAACAATGTAAATCAAGATACTTCTATTTTTCATGGTTCCAAAATTTTCTACTTAAAACAGTAGACTTCCGTATAATTAATGTTAAGTCACTGTAGCATTTATATATGCAATGCTCATCCTTTTATACTAACAAAAAGTCATTCAAATATTTCTTGCGGATATAGTTTTTATATCTCAACACCTTTAAATAGTGTATGCTGGGTTGATTTGAACAAGTTTCAGACACCAAAGGAAGTTCTCAGACTGAATCTGCTGCAAGGCCCCAGACTTTCAAAAGGACCACTTTGTAGGAGATACTGTCATTAGATGGATAAGTGTGGAACCGTTAACTATCAGATACACTGATAGTTACACATGGGGATTCCAGTGTCATTTGACCTGTTTCATTGATGCTGATTGAACAACAAAAATAAAAGTGCATCTTATTGTCACCAAATTAGTGTGCATTGTTTCTTAAAATCATCTCCAGCCTGGCACCGGAGAAAAGGAGATTATAACCACTGAGTACTCCTTGCTTAATTGCAAATTTGGAATACAGTTAAATGTATTACACTTTAGATTTTAAAATGTAACTTGTGTAAAAATAAAGGTTTTATAGACTTCAAGAAATGGGTACCTTGAGTGAGTGTTCAATACTATAACCGAGTTTATTCAACTTTGCCCACTTATGCAGTATAAGTGGTTTAAAACACAATGCAGAAATACTACTGAGTCTAGTAAATGAAATTATCAATGTGATTTTGCTCCTTCTCAGTCAAGACTAACTCAAATCCCTTCTCATCTTTCATTTATTAATCATTCCTGCTCCATCAGATGCCCAGGACCCGAAATAATCTAGAGTCCATCCTATTAGTGAATCAAACCATCTAGCTAATATATCCAAAAGCATATTAACTTTATTCATTATATACTTATAAATACTAAAAAGATCAGATGCCAAATCTTTGTTTTAGAAATTGAGAAGATGAGACACAGAAATTAAAGAGGTGTGGAAAGGACAACATGGAACAGAAACAATTGGCCCAGAGGTCTGAATAGGTTTCAAAATCAGCCTGGTCTAAAAGGGAGGTCTTGGGCTGAGGGACAATATATCTCTAGTCCAGTGGTCCAGAGCATACAGCAGGATGCCCTTTTGTCCATCACTCTTAGTTGGAATGACAGCCACCTCCAAATCTAGTTTGGAGTCTAGTGACATTGGGATATGGAATATGACATTAGTATCCAGAATATTCTGATCTCAAAGCCATGTTTCATAATGCTCATAAACAACTAAGGCCACTAGAGCCTGGAATTATGATTATTACTTTCCAACTCTTTGTCCTCATATTACTTGATCCCTCTTGTAGTGATTTTTCAAATGCTATGTTGTAATCAAGATCCTTTCGTAATTTTATTTGAGAATACCGCCCTGGGAAAGAATAAGAGCAGTGGACACAGTCTGCTTTGGCAACAATACCAAGCATTGCAAGCCTAAGGACACAGTGAATACCTCTCAGTCTAGGGAGAAGCCTCAACTCATTACCCAACACCAACAGTACCCTACTTTTTAAACTGTCAATCCTGACAATGTATACCATGTCTGGGGTATCTTCTATGAGATAAATATGAACTCCACTCTTTAATGCTTCACAAATAATTGAGCTAATCCCCAAATCAAGTTAAACCATGTTGTCTTAGTATATGCTTCTGAACTGGTCAGAACTCGACCTGTAGACATTCTTGAAACTCCATACGAAAGTAAATCACAACAAAGCAAAATGATCATGCATGCTTAAGACCCTGAGTTTCCATCTGTTTTCTCTAAAATGACCCACACTGAGAAAATTGCTTAACATGCACAAGGTAAGCCCCATTTTATAAGCCAGTAATGGAGAAACCGCAGTAACTAATTAGCTCCTACCAGTACAAGTCAAACTGTTATTAACAAAATCTGAAAGTTAAATAGAGGTTCATTACTTCCCTAGTCATTGGCGCCCCCTCCCTGGGGAGTGTTTAACTCATAGCAATGGTTTTGGCTTTGCTTGACTAAATCTCACTATGAGAAAGGAATAGGCACTTGTGCCCAAGTCTGAAGGAACCCAGAGGTGTGCCAAGCCAACCATTAAGCTGTGCAGAAAAGTAGATGGTTAGAAATTGGCATGCAGAGACTTCTCTTCCAAATCAGTCTGAAGTATGGTGAGAAACATTGTTCCAAGGCTTTTGTTTTCCCCCCCGATGGGTTCCTTTGAGACAACACTGAAAAATGGCCCATCTCCATCTTTCTATTCAAGAAAAACATTGTTAAATAGGTTTGTGTTACTTCCCACTCTTCTAAGGACCTTTCAAGGGAATATAGGGTTTACAATGTTGGACAGTTGGCAGTATGTAAAGAAGAAAGCAACAGAGTGTGTATAGTCAGTTTTCCAAAGAGAACAAAGGCCAAGGCAGGTATGTAGCTTAATAATTATGGATTTGCCTTGTAAGCAGGAACAACCCTGCAGAAGTTAACCCATCGCTTGCCATTATCTCCCCTCCTGCTTATGGACTCTGTCATATTCAGCAGTGAAATGTAAGGTATTAAAGGATAGAACTTCCATGTAGCTCCATTTCTATCCCCTCTCCACCTTGAACCAGAAGGAGCGTCAGTGCCCTTATAAAACATGAGATACCTATGAAGTTTGATCTCTGCCAATTGACTGAAAATAGGATTGTTAAACTGTGGTTCATAACATTTTATTTGCTCTTTTTTGATTTCAATATTCAACTTTGTAAATTAAAATTAATATATACTTTTCTGGAAAAACATCTTACAACTTTTAGAGTTGGTGTCAAGAAAATTGCCTTTTTATTGTGTTTTTTTATTCCAGTAACTTGGGTGAGTCACATATGACTGCCGTGACCGTTTCCATCTGTGATCCTAACTATGAATATCCCTAACTATGGCGTAAACAAAGGTAAGCAGGTGTCTTTGTTGTAGGACTTTTCAGAATTTTAAATTATATGTTAAAATAAGGTTTTAAATACAATATTCATAGAGAGTATTCAAAAAGAATAAAACATAGCACTTCCTAAGGTGTATTTTTTAATCACAAGTCTGTTCTTCACAGTACATAGAAATTCTATGGGGTGGTTTGAGAAATGTTTGACTAACCCAGAGTTTCCTAAACTTGGCACTATTGACATTTGAACCAGATAATTCTATGTTGTGAGCAATGTTCTGTGCACTGTAGAATGCAGAGCCCCTGCCCACTGGATGTCCTCAGCATCCCCAGTCATAATAAAAAAATGTCTCCAGACACTTCCAAATGTCCCTCAGGGGCAAAATCATCTGGAAAAACTGATTTTCAGGGGTCTTTCTGGCTGGCATGTTCAGAAAAAATGTTCTCCAGACCAGTAAGAGGTAGTATGGGGTAGTCATCGACACCACACTTTGCAAAATTAAAGCTTTGTGGTTCAAGTACAAAGTTTACTTGTGTTAAATACTACGGAACTTAACACCCAGAATCTTTGGTTTCTGCATCTGTGAAATGGTAATAATAATAATACCACCTACCTAGTATAGATGTTATGGGGCTTGAAGGAAATAATGTTTGAAAAGTATACTAAATATTTTATATATATATATATATATATATATATATATATATATATATATGCACACACACACACATATACTAAATACTCTAAATACTAGACAATGTCTAGTATACAGTAGAGAACTTGGCAAATACCAGCTCTCATTCTCTCTGGAATTCACTATCTATTAACCTTGATTTACTTAGTTGCTAATTATTTCTAAAAGTCACTTGCTTTTTCAGAAGCAGGTTACAACCCAAATAATTTCCTTTTTCTTATTACTTCTCTCATTTATTTCCCTATCATACTTCATACATCCATACATCAAATAACTATTTTTGAAACTTTCTTGTTGCACTTCTATGCTAGGCTTCTAATAAGGGGTTTCTGATTCCCTTGGAGGAACAGAAAACACCTGTCTAAAGTTGTTGGTCCTAGAGCTTACACTGTAGTCCTTTCAAAGAAATTCCTAGACAACAAGAGATTAAATGCAGGAAAACAAACTACTCTAGGTTTTTCAAGCACAGTGGAATTAATATAGAAATCATTGAAAAAGCTAGAGAGCTGACGTCAGGGGCTACTAGTAAATTTGCTTTTCAAGGTGACACCTTCATGACACAGACTCGCTGGCAGGAACTATCTGCTTTTATACTATCACCGCTGTCGTTGCCACAGCTGTCTCAAACCCATGAAGCTGGTGACAAGCAAATGAATCCGCTTCGGACACTCATGTTTGCTAGAGCTTGCTTGTCAGCTAGCATAGACAGAGAGATGGGTTTGTTGTTCTAATCTCATATGAGTACATTTAATTGGCAGAAACTAATTAATATCCAGAATACTAGCTACAAAGCTGTCTAGAAAATATATAGTTGGTGCAAAAGTAATTGCGGTTTTTGTTGTTGCTTTTAACAGCAAAAACCACAATTACTTTTGCATTAATGTAATATTTACCTTTCCAAATCTTCCCCCCAAAAAGAAAAGTGAAATTGTGCATGTGAGTGCATTTAATTGGCAGAAACTAATTAATATCCAGAATACTGGCTACAAAATTGTCTAGAAAAAATATGTATTTTTTACCATTCCAAACCTTCCAAAAAAGGAAACTGAAATAGAGGCTGATCCCAACATCCAGTTATCCCACATAGACAACCCTATAGAGACACACATCCATAATATTCAACAGTGATAATAGAAAGATCCACTTGGTCCTCTCTACTGTAATGTAACAGTCCCCTGTATAAAGATAAGTCTCTTGTTCCCTCCCTTAAAGAGGAGACTCATCAACCACTCTTTCTCTTCCTTTGTGTAGTTAATTCTTCATCTATTCAAAATTCCACCCTGAGATACTACAACGTAAAAATTAAATCATGAAGTTCAAAACCAACAGTATACTTTATATAAAAGAAAAGAGAAGGAATTTGTTTACTATAATAATATGGCCATAACAAAGAAGGAAAGAAATACGCATTTTCTTGTTTTTGCAACTGATCGTGAGACCATGGCTGGTATTTATAATTTCCACCTTTCACAATATATTCCACGATTCCTTTACCTTGAGGCAGCACATCAGATTGTTAACCATTATTTGCATCTTGGACAACTGAAGCTTCATTCCTGAAGAGTGTGAGCACTGGTATTGAAGTTTCCGATGTCCTCTAAGATACCTCATAGACACTCTTGTTCAGATGTATTCGCCTGTCTCCTACTGTATAGCAGCAAACCTATTTTTCCTTAATAATCAGCATCATTCAGTAACTGCCTTCCTGTTTACTAATCTAGATGAACTGGTTCTAATGAGACATCACAGCTACCATCTTTCTCTTCACTGGCATAAAATTCACCCGAGTGTAGTCATTGAAATTCTTGTTATTTGAACCTGATCATAACTTGCTTCTCCATGGCACAGCTGTGTGAGTTCCCAACACTGGATTATTGAGGGCTCAGAGGGATTAGGATAAAGTGGGTTTGCAGCAGTAGGATGTTCCAAGCCCCACAAAATCATTTCCTGTACCCTACTGTCCTCACTCCTGGTCAAGAGCCAGGACTTTTCAGCAATATAGATGCCAGTTGACTCCTGAGTTATCACTGACAAAATTATATCCTAAAGTCATAATTTTAACTGCTAACATCTTCAAACAACATTTTCCATTTGGAATTGTTCAGACACATTTACGTTTTTCTCTACTTTCCTGTTTACCTTTTTTCTGCAGTTATTCACTCATATATACATAGTAAATGATACTATTTTTATCAGCATTATTATAACTATTTTAATTGCCATTTTAAAATACTTTACTATACATTACCTCGTTTAATCATTTCAATAATTCTGAAGATAATTGGTGTATCTTACATGTAAGGAAACTGATATAAAGGTCTAAGTATCTTCTACAACCTCAAGCAGGAATAATAATGGAACCCACAACTCAAACTTTTTAACGCCTTAGAGAGACGCAAGAGCAGGAATGGAGCCTCTTAAGTTTTTCTCAAATCTTTCATAGCTTTTGATACAAATTCTCTATTTCTATGCAACAATATGTTTTCTTACCTTCATATGGATCACTGAAAAATGGAATTTATTCTTATATTTCTCCTTTTTTTCATTGTAAGGAGGTGATACCCTAATAGTTCTGTAAGTACCCAAAATCAGGATAGTTAAAATTCTATTTCCTTGAAAATATGGAAAGAAATTCTTGATTTTTATCTCAATTTATTAGTAACTAACAGAACTAATTTTAAATTCCATTTTTTCCTCTCTCAGAAATTCTACAAGTACTTTAAATGGAGCTGTCACTGTGTATCCAAGCAATGAAGCAATGATTGATTTCTGATTCACCTCTGATAAGGCTACTTTTGATCAATTATTGAACATCCCAGGAGTGCACAGGACTCTTGTATTGTATGTCCTGACAGCACTGTGTGATTTGGCCAATCCATTACTCTTAATGCCTTTGATGTGTTCCTTGCCTGATTAACAGCTCAATATTTCTAGAGCTTATATTCCTAACAAATCTCACTCTGTGGCATATTGCTTGGCTTTCTGTGTTTCATGACCAATTTGCATACAGTTAAAGAAATGTTCCCCTAAATATCACTGATCAGCTGGAAAAGAGATATATCAAACAACTATAGCTATCCTAGAGGAAAAACATGGGTAAATCAGTTAAAATGTTAGTCTGGAAGCCAATTATTTATCACCTAAATGATGATTTCTTTGTATTTTTACTTTGCACTGAAACACATAAAACAATTTCACATGACACAATGACAAAATTGCACGCTCCCACACTGGATCCTTAACCTCTCTGAGACTGTGAGTTAGATATATTTTGCATTTGAGATTAACACTGAGAAAACTCCAAATTTAGGACTAAGGCATTCATAAAACTATAATTCTTTTCAAGTGAGAAAATCTGTATTACTTAACAGAGACTGTACTATTTAACAAAATCAGAGATGACTAACTCTCTTCATTAATTCTGACAGTTCATCATAGGGTTGCTTCTGTTGATAAGATCTCCTCTTCATAATTTTCATCTGCCATGAACCTATTTTAGGTTTTTATGAAAAAGCACACTGTAAATGTGTTTTGGTTTGAAAACCACTGTCAAGTTAAATAATTGTTTATATAGTGTTCATTTTTTCATTCATCCCTTCATTTGATCATTCAATAAATTGATTAAATTCTCACTCTGATTAATACAGATGTATGTTGCTAGACATTTGAATGTTGACTTTGAATCATATTCTAATGCAAGATTAATCCTGATGTCAGCAGAGTGATTCTGCCTCCTTCCAATCCATTTGTCACATAGTAGCCAGAGTGATTTATTTTGTTTTTAAAAACACATAAGTGGATCAAGTCAACTTCATCTTGTGATACTTTTCCTTGTCAATTTTTTCCCTTTAAGCTGGCCCTGCCATTCCTAAAACACAAGATCTCTCTGATCTGCCTTAGAGCCTTTGGGCTTGCTATTTTCTTGTTGCTTATCTTCATTCCCTTGGTTTTTTGTAGGCCTCTTCTTTTATTCTCAGGTAGGCCTACCCTAAGAAAAGTACCCTCTGATATTATCTATTGAAACTCCATAAGTAAATCTTCATAGCACTTATCACAATAAGTAACTATTTTCTCCCTCCCTCCCTTTCTCTCTCCTATCTACCTATATAACCATCCATCCATCTACTCGTCATTTCCTGTCTATCCCAACCATCCCCTCATGCTCTTGCTCATATGCAAACACATATTAGATTTTAATCCCATGGTACAGGAAATTTGTTCACCTCAGGAAGGACAGAAGAGGCTCATATTTCACCACTTCAAAACATTTCCACATGACACAATGAACATTTCTCCTATACACATTAGCTTTTTCGCATGGCCAAGTGACTTTCCTAGTGTCCCCTTCTCTCTTTTCCCTCCTTTCCCCATTGGCTCTCCCTTTTCCATCATCCTCCCTAGAAAGAGACAACAAAGGAAAGACCAAAACAAAAATATTTTTGATTTCTTCAACAAAACTATTCGGTTCAGTTCTCCCTAGAAGCTCCAACAAACATCATTCAAGACCTGCTTTTTTATTGGAAAAGATTTAAACTTTGAAATTACAGTTTATGACTTCACAGAATGCAGTTCTCTTCCCAGTTTCTGCTTGTGGGTGCGAGAGATTCACACTTCCAGTTTTACTAGCAAGATTGACATATTTCTATTACAGGATTAGCCCCATATTTCTAATTGTTTTTGCTCATTGGATATGCAGCCTGTACTGAGTCTAGAGAATTTTAAAAATTACTTCCTAGTTGGCAAAGCAGCACTATGATTCTTATTGCAAGTATGAGAGCATTACATAAAATCAGCTTAAAAAAAAACATAATGTATCCACAGACCAACTCAGACCACGAAGTGTTTCAGGGCATCAGCTTATTTAATCATCACAACAATTCCTTACAATTCCTTTAAAAATAAAAGAAAGATTGTTGTTCCTATTGACAGATGGACTGGGGAGATTAAAGGCTTTCCCAAGTAGCAAATTCACAGCCAACATGAAAGTTCACTACACAAGAAGGATGGAGGCAATGAGGCTGAGTGAGAGCAGCCACCCTGTGTCCAGCACAGCACCTCTCACTTGTGCTTTTCCCCATTCCTCTTCCTTGAGATTACTGGTAATAACTATGAATGTCCACATCTATAAAACCCAATCATCTGGGTAGAACTTGACATTCAATATTACCACCATATTTCCATCTCAGAAGGTGATGTACCTACAATCCCATTTAGATATACTGATAACTGGATTCTTAATCCACTTAAAAAGATGAAGGCTTTCAAACTGTTAGGTCTTCCTACAAGTTAGAATGTGGGGAATTTTCAAGTGCTGTGAAGATAGGGAGCAGAGAGGCAGGACTTGCCATGTTTGAACTTTCAGGCATCATTGGTAGAATCAGCTTTAACCCACCCTCTACCTCTAACAGGAACATGAGCTCTATAATTACATGTCTTCACTGAGCAACCAGCAATCATGGCCACATTCAGCTGGTCTCTTCCTCACCTTATTTGCCCAAAGTAGCAATAATACAACATGCACAAAGTCTGTATCTCTGACCCTGATTACTTATCTTTACTCTCATGGCCACAGAATTTCTCACATTTCTGACTAATCAGAAATCATCAGATTAACTAGAAGTTAAAATGGTTCCCGAATGAGTACTCAGGGAGAATCTTTGTTCCAAATGGTCTTAAATGTCTCCAACCAATGGGGCATCACAGCCGTCCGATCAGTGGCCTTTGTTAACAAGCATGCCTTGAGCACGTCCACGTCTCCCTGTATAGACCAACTTGCTTCTAATCAGTGAGTATTGGTCTTCTCTACAGATTTGTTTGTTAAACCGACATCTACAACAAACATCAGACATCAAAAATGATATCCACCATTTTGCTATATCATCTTAATTAAATGTCAAATTCAAGGAATGCCATTTTCGGCAGTAAATAAAAGGCGCCACAATAACGTATCGTGGAAATTTTCTCCCCGTTACTCTCTCCTGTTTCCTGAAAATTGTTTATACCATTTTCTCTGACCTCTTTATTTTATTGTTTAGTTGCAAACCTTGCTTAAGCTAACATAGTTACTAGTTCATGTAAAGCACAGAGAAGCCCTTGACTCCATTAAAATTAAAATTCAAAAAAAAAAAAACACCTTATATTAGTGTATGTGGAACCATAGTATGTACCTCAATCACGGGAAAACATCTGCTTAAGAATAACTTAAAGTTCTGGAGAAATATCATAAGCTCTATTTATGACTTTGAGCTCTATAATCAGTAATCATCTAAAGAGATCTCTCTAGACTAATATAATCTGAATCAATAGAGTGGAGAAATACTTTATTTCTTACATGTTTCTCTGTGAAGGCTATGAAGCAAATGCTGCTTTCTCAATCCTCTGCAATGCAGTGCCTGTTTTTTTTTATGTGTTATAGTGTAAATATATAAAATTACAGTATAAGATAATTTGTATGTGGCTGTTGAACCTATAGAATCTTCCAAGAAATCTCTGCTCAAGAGTGAACCAGAAAAATAGAAATTATACTTTCTCCTTTAAAATGGGATTGTGATATATTATATAGATGAAAATTTTAAAGATACAAAAATAATAACTGATGAAATGATCAGATTCCTTATATTACATTGTAGGGTCTCTCATACTCTATCCTGGCTAGTGCTTAAATGTATGTCTCTGAGTGAAATCACTCCTCAGGATCTTTGCACAACTGGCCAGATGTAGAAGGTACTCTCATCACTATCTTTTCCTCCTATATTGTTTCATTTTTTTTGCCAGACAAAGAGTACTTTGAGGATTATATCTGCATATGTAGTACTCATTCTTAGTGCTTTCAAATACAATTAGGAAAGGAATAACTTCATTCTTTAAATTTTTCTTACATTTTTTTCCTTATTTGAATTGAATAGTGTACTCAATTTTTTGTTTAAGTGTTTTTTTCAGGTAATTCAGACCCAACATCTTGAATTGTTATTTTTAATAAAAATGATTTAAGTAGTTAATCATTGGTAATATTTTTATAATAGAATAAATTATAAATTGAGTTTTGTGTTGCTATGACTAACAAGTGTAACTGTTGATATTTAAGCAGTTGGTAAGAAATGAGTTTACCAGAGTACCAGGCAAGGAAACTTTCAGAAAGCCATCTAGTTCTCATTAGAAGGCTTCAATCATTGCAGAGACCATTATGGTATATTCCTTTGTTCTCATTCAATGAAGAAAACACACACACACAAAGAACACAAAGCAAGGCCTTTAAAGGTTGCTCTTTAAAGAAAGAAAGAATTAAAACAGTTTAGTCCTTCTTGAATTTGTAACTGCCAAATCGCTAATGTAGGCAGGAAATACTGTAGCACACAAACTGCTTCGCCTGATGTAGCATAAACTCACTATTAGGGGGAAATGATGCCAGAAATTTAATAAAATAGACACATGATCATGACTTTAATCTCACCAAGTAAGAATGTAAGAGTAATTTACTTTGAAAGTTTCTACAGAGAAACCAAAGATACTGTAATTCCTTCCTGTTCCTCATCACAGGGCAACCCCTACTTCCAACCTCAGGCCATGGGGCTTGATCTGGGAACATGGAATCACTGGTGAAAGGCATCCAGAGGAGCTGAGTCACATGTCAGTTGTCGCCCTGGTACAACTATACTCAGCATGCCCTGCTCAAGCTTAAAGTCTCAGATTTATTAAAATTTAATTGATATAATTTAAAAATCAACTGTTATTTTAAGTAAAAGCAGTTTTACCTTTCCAGAGATTTAAATTACCTTTAAATAATATTTTGTTTTCCCATTTTCCTGCCTTAACCTATTGGCTATGATGTAGGACCCTTTTAAGTAAGTTGGTATAATGAAAAGACTATTGAGTACTATTCAGCCATAAAAATGAATGTGATCCAGTCATTTGCAACAACATGGATGGAACTGGAGATCATTATGTTAAGTGAAATAAGCCACAGAAAGACAAACATTGCATGTTCTCACTTATTTATGGGTCCTAAAAATCAAATCAGTTAAACTCATGGATGTAGAGAATAGAAGGATAATGACCAGAGGCTGGGAAGGGTAGTAGGGGGTTGGGGGAGGTGGGATGGTTAATGAGTTAAAAAAAAAAGTTAGAAAGAATGAATAAGACCTACTGTTTGATCACACAATAAGGTCACTATAGTCGATGATAATATAATTGTATATTTTCAGATAAAGAATGTAACTGGATTGTTTGTAACTCAAAGGATAAATGCTTGAGGGGATGGATACCCCATTATCAGTGATGTGCCTATTTCACATTGCATACCTGTATCCAAACATCTCATGTGCTCCATAAATATATACACCTACTATGTACCCACAAACAATTTTTAAAAATAAAAAAGTGAACAACAAAAAAGCAGAAAGCAGGGTTTTTTTTGTTTTTTTTTTTTAAGAGTATTGAGGTTTTTTTGTTTGTTTGTTTTCCAGCAATGGGAGCCAATATCTGGAAAACTGAGAGACTGGATGTAAATTGTTTAGTTCAGAAGCTACTATAGTAGCATAAGTGTGACACCTTAATACCCTAGACCATGATAATAGGAAGGTAATAGAAGGGGAAAGATGTATCTATCCCATATTCTAGATTTTAAAATTTGTGATGGTAGGAGGCAGCAGAATAAAAACAACAAAGCCTCTAGTTTCAAAACCTGTGACCAAGCAATTGACAATATTTGTAATAGAAGTTCAAATGTATTGCAGATTTTAAATTAATGGAGTTGAAAGGAAAGCAATTATATACTTCAGTTTAAATGCAGTTCTAAGATAGTGCCTTTGAAAGAAATTGGCAGATATTATAATCATCTACTGTGTTCTACTATTTAATCCAGGTGGTACATATAAAATGTCCTATAACATTTCTATGATTTCTAGCTTTTCCAGTTAATAAAGTAACTTTATACTTATTGTCTTATTGATGTTATGATAGGTAATAATAGAAACATCTCTTGCATTTGGGAAGTACTTTTATTATTTCAACCGATAATAGATCAATGATTTATTAATCATACCTAACTAACTATAGTCTAGCCCAACACAGGCCAATGCCTAAGAAGAATACAACAGCGCATAGCCTAGTGACACACACAATCTGGGAATGCCAGCAGACCTCTGGCCACCTTCTGAGCAACTCAACTACTTTGGCTGAGGGTCCTTGAATAAAAAATAGAGTTTAAATAAGACAAGTACCAAACCCATTCACTTGGTTCCACTCTCCTATAGCAAATACTGGCCATCTCATTAATAATTAAAAACAACAGCTGCTAATGCCTTGGAACAAGATGGCTAATTTACATATCCTGAGCGCTGGCAAGAGTTCTCCAGCACGTTCTGCCAAACCCGGGGAGGATTCTGTTTTCTCTGAGGCAGGTAAAGGGCAGAAAGGAAACTACAGCTCAAACACGAATATTAATAAAGTTGTAAAGGAGCATATAATTAAGCCATATCAATTATTTATCTAATTATGAGGTTATTAGTCATCTAAAATTACTCAGCAAGCAACTCCAGAGTCTATGGGGTACTAACATACAAAGTGTTGTCCAAAATCATCAGGCCTGAAAAACTCCATCTGACAATGCTGCTTCAACATTAATTAGCTGTAAGATCTGAAGGATGAGTAGAAAAAGGAGGATATGGTGAAATATTCTATTAGAAAAAGCCATGTCTTTGATGGCTGGAGGTAAGAGAAAGCACAGTGTTTTCTACTAAATGATTACTTGTCTTCTGAAGTTATTTCATTTGGGGAAATCATATCTTTATTCCATGAGTCCAGTTGGCTCCCTGGGTCCGGAGCTGTTCCCTGGAGAATGTTTTGAGTTCAATTATTTAACACTGAGATAAGATTCTCCATTTACTGCAAGCCTCAATGGATGTCCTAATATCTGCATGCAGGTAGTGAAGTGTTTATTCACTGTGTAGATGGAATAATGATCCCCCAAAGACATTGACATCCTAATCTCTGGGACCTGTGAATATGTTACCCTACGTGGCAAAAGGTACATCGCACACATGATGGGTTAAGAATGTTGAGATGGAGAAGTTAGCCAGTCTTATCCAAGTGAGCATATTGTAATTATGAGGGTCTTTATGAGCCGGAGGGAGGAAGGTCAGCCAGCGGAGAAGTGATAAGCAGAGATCAGAGAGAGATTCGGAGACGGATTTGAAGATGCTGTGGTACTGTTTGTCTTTAAAAATCAAAGGAGAGACGACAAGCCAAGGAATACAAGGGGCCTCTAGAAGCTGGAAAAGGCACAATAGCAGATTTTCACCTAAGCCCCCAAAAGGAATGCAGTCCTGACCCATTTTAGGCTTCTGACTTCCGGGACTCTAAGTTAATACATTTGTGTCACATTTACATTTTAAGCCATTACATTTATGGTAATTGTTACAGCAGCAAGAGGAAGCAAATCCATTCATCACATCTCCCCAGAATAAATTCACCAATACCTGACCATTTCACATTTCTATTCTGAGGCATAAGGATCATGAGCTAATTAAATAGCACAACAGTTGTGATATTTCTTATTCACATTTAAGAGAAAGTAGTTTGTTTAAACAAATTAACAAATAAAAAGATTTTTGAAACTACCCTTACGAAAACATGAAGTAATCTAAATGTGCAAGAGACAAATTGGGCTATCCAGCTGGCCTCCCAGATTCACAGGAATATAAATCAAAGCCCAAAATAAAACAAAACTATTGGTATGGAAGGGTTCCATCTGTAGAAATGATGAGAAATTCCTATAAGACATATTACAGTTTACGACAGAGAGAAGTTTATCATAAACATTGTAGAACATAAGACATCTGAATAAAAAAATCTATTGGGGGAGAGTGAATGGAGTCCCTACAGGAATCTACTTACACAGCCTAAATCAGGATGGCAGAGGAGGGAGGCAACTATGGAATCTGGGGATTGTCCCTTCAAGAACAGTTTTGAGTCCTGGGTCCTAGGCCTTAGTGGCTGAGGACTTTTCCTTGGCTTACTCCCGGCCCTAACAGCATTCCAGGAAAAATAGAAGCATCATAGTAGTTCCTCAGTGAGGGAACTTAGAACTTAGAGTTGAGTCATTTACACTTGTAAAAGCAAGTATAATCTTCTGTTTCCAATTCCTCTAGCACTTTCCCTTTAAAGGAAATGAAAATGACTCCTGTCTCCCTATATCGTACTGTGGAAATTCCAGTAGTCTTCCCAGCATTTCTGAAGCTACCTGGAGGTGGGGTACATTTTGTTTCCTTGGTCAGCCTTTATTATCTCAGGTCTTCTGAAGGCCACTCCCACTTCAGGTACTGTCCTTCCTCCTTCATTTTCTAATATGCCATTAATAAAATTCTAGTGTTTGTAATGTACTACTTCTGAAGATTTGAGTATAACTCAAAAGGTCTAAAGCACAGCAAAGAATACTGAACAATTTAAAATTAAATGTTAGGCATAATGATACTGAATTTTCTAGGTCATCCAGAGAAATTTTCTCACTGGCCAAACTTCTTTGATTACATAAAAAAACCAAGAGCTCCTTCATCCTCCAAAGCCCATTCCCTCCCACCTGCCTTAACCTCGTCACCAAGGATTTTTTTTTTTTTTTTTTTTTTTTTTTTGCGTGTCTGTTTTGATTTTTTTGTACCCTCCAAGGAACAGGTCTAATTCCTGTTACTCTACTATACAGAGCTACTCACCTTCTTTTGTTACAGTCTCTCCCACCAAGAAAGATTGAACAACCTAGAAAAATAACCGCTATGGTGTTTTCCAAAGAACAGTATGTCCCCTATGAATCCCAACTTCTTCTTAAGCCTCAGGTGTAAACTGCAGGCAGCTTCTAAAACAGCAACAACTCAGTCACCCTGGTACACAAGGCAACAATCTCTTTGGCCCAGCAGTGATTCTCTGGTCAGGTTGCCTCCAGCTGTATTTTATTTATTCCTCTCAATGAGCACCTGAAACCCATATTTATAACTAAAGGCTGTAATTGGCTTCAACATCTGCCCCTTCTTTGGGGCTTAAAAGATTTGATAGGAACTCACACCACTCTGACAGAACCAATCCTAAATCTCAATATTGGACACACAGTGCCCTCTGAGAAAGACTGCAAAATACATTAAAACACCTTATACTTCAAAGGAAGGCAACCAAAATGAAAAAAGAATTCAAATTCTGCTCTCTGAAAACAAAACCAAATAAAAGCAGTTATTCTATCAAAGTTGAGAAATTATCTAATTCTTACCTGCAAAGACATTTAAGGGGATATATTTATGAAGCTAGGGGAATTACTAATGAAAGCATAGTGACTAATAAATCATATTTTTTCTCAGTATCAGTAAATGCCAAAGAACTGAAATTGTCATAAATTGCTTCTTTAGTGTGTTTTCATACTGCTAGAAAGTACTGCCCAAGACCGGGTAATTTATAAAGGAAAGAAGTTTAATTGACTCACAGTTCAGCATGGCTAGGGAGGCCACAGGAAACTTACAATCACGATGGAAAGCGAAGGGGACGCAACACCTCCATCACAAGCCAGCAAGCAGAAATGCTCAGTGAAGAGGGAAGAGCCCCTTATAAAACCATCAGATCTCCTGAGAACTCACTCACTCTCACGAGAACAGATGGGAAAATTGCCCCTCATGATTCAATTACTTCCACCTTGTCTCTCCCTTGACACGTGAGGATTATGGGGATTACAATTCAAGATAAGATTTGGGTGGAGACACGAAGCCTAACCATATCAGTTGCTGAGAGGAAAATGTTCATTCCCAATTATTATATATCTAGCCAAATTTTCATTTGTACTTGATGGCAACCCCCAAAATATTTGAAGATGAAAAAAAATTTAAAGTATATCATATACATTTTAAAACAGTAGACATTATTAAAATTCATGGAAAAAAAAACAAAATAACAAAATGAATCAAAAGGGTACATACAAAATACTTGGCAATGAGCAAAGAAATCAGTAAAACCGAGTAGACAAATTCAGTGATTCTTTATCTTGGCTTCATGTTTTGATTACCTGGAAGAATTAACAGCAAAAATAAATACAAATAAATGTACATTCATAAAATAATAAATACAAGAAGTGTTTCATGGTTCACATTCACAGAGAAGTGATTGAATTCCTCTTGGGTAGGGCCCAGACATGGGGGCTTTGTAGAGAGTCCTCTGTGACTCCAATGTACATACAGAGTTGTGAACCCTAGTTTAAGTAATTTGGGGGAACATGGGCTTATTGACATGGGAAATAAAGAAAGGAGAGAGCTGGAGGGAATAATTTTTAAAATGCTATATTTCTCCTCTGATAACAATAAGAGATAATAGTTAATGTCTCATTTATTTGTTTGAGCTAAGAATATCATCGAAAACGTACCCTCTGCCAGCCTTTTTGATAGGTGATGGGAATATATAGTCATCAAGATATGCTGAGTCCTGAAATTCAAGGAACATATAGTCCATCAATAGAAATCAACAAGAAATAGATGGACACAGGGCAATATGATTCTGGGAAACCAAGCAGGGAGCACTAGGGAAGCTCCAGAAAATCAGAGCTGCCTGCCTGGAGGAGCTAATAATACCTGATCTAAACTAATACCGGGTCTGCTCTTGACTTACAAGCAATCTGTTCAGGCTCAACTTACAAAATCATTTTCTATTATTCTAGTTTACTGTTACTTGTTTTCTCATTCATCAGTAACTAGAGTCAATAGATTAGATAAAAAGGAAGAATTATCTAGAGGCAGGTCTACTCTTTGAAAAGAAGTGAATATAAGAGCTGGCACCAAATAATAAAGCCAATAAGAAATCAAAATGGATCCCCAAATTACCACAATCTTGGGACATTTTAAAAAAGAAAAACCATCTTGCGTATCTCAATATTTTTCCAAGGTAGTAATGAGAGTTCAACATGCCTACAAAAGACATTTAACAAAAGGCTAAACATTGCTGTCACTTCCTGTTAAGTATATAGGAAGTATAATCTTGTTGGTAGTTTCACTCCTTGTAAGGATAAATTTCCTACAAGGTTTTGAGAAGAGGGAGTTGTCTCCCTTTAGCCTTTGAGCTGTGTCCCTGGTTTGTTATTTCTCTATCTTATGAACACTGAATTCAGCTTTTGGGGGGTTACTAATACTGGCAAACACCTAGAACTTCTATTTCGCAGTTCTCCTCAATAAGATATCACTTCTTCCTCACAGACTTTTCAAAACAGGAAAGGAGAATATGGGGTAGACTGTATTTCCATTAAAGGTCCATTGCTTAATTTTCTACAAGATGTTTACACATTTTAATGGAAATGTTGATTTTACTGAGGAGTTTTGGTAACAAAAGGAAATTTAAATGCATTGAGGAGTGTTCAAAAATAAAAGCTGCACGCTGCATATGACTAACCTTCTAGGCCCAGGTGTGATGAGTGGGGCACAAAAATGGACACCTGTTATGTGATTTTGTCTTGTGATATACCCCAATTCCCAAATTGCTCCGCTCTCCTGAGACCCATTGCCTTCCTGGAGAGTGCCTTCTTGTTCACACTTTAACAAGGCAAATCCTATCTTCTTTTAGAGCGACCCCAGTTGCTTATCTGAGTGAGTTTATCTGACTTTAGAAAACATCCATCTCTCCCTTCACCAAGAAAATCGACGTGCAAATTTGCTTCTGTACATGTTGTAAAGCATAAGTAATTCAGTCTAGAATAATATCGCAACATACATAGGAAGGGGGAGAATGGCTAGAGAACAAGCTAAGATATACCTGTCACCCAGTGCCAGTTCAGATCCTGTGATACCTCCTCATCAGCATCAGGTACAGATATGCTTTTTCACTCTGCTTGATTATCCAAAAGGCAACTACTGAGTCAAACAAAGACAACACTTCTAAAGGAACACCATGCATCTTCTGAGACAGTCAAGACAAAATCCACATAGAAGAGGATGAACACTTCTTTAACTGCTAGCTCATCTGTTCAGCTGCTGAGCCTCCTGCAGGGTGGCTCTCCTTTGTTTTACGCTGCTTGCACATGGCACTTCTGTGCCTTTGACACCTGAGATGTGACTCGTTACAAAGAAATGCATGTTTCCTGCTCTGTTCTCTTCCTCTAATAAATAGTCAGTAAAGGCTTTAGAATCAAACATTTTGTTTTTTCCCCCAAATAACTTTTAAAACTATTTAACATTTTGGTCATGGCTTTCTGAAAGGTTCTCTTGCCATTGTGTTGGCATCCAAGGTGCTTTGGATTTAATTTAAGAGGGTAAAAATATGTGAACTGTCATATTCTTCTGGCTGAAAAGTATGTAAATGTTGCCCATTCCAGGAGATATTTGAAATTATAAAGAGAAAATGAGTTTTCAAGGGAAGGGGGAACATTCAGAATCTTGGGACAGGCCAAGGGTCATGAGATTCCTAAGAGCTGAATATGTGCTCTCCAGCGGAAGTGATGTGCCTTTGATTGATTAAAAGGTACTGCTAACCTCAACCTCAAAATCAAGAGTTACTAAGTAATGGCCCTGTAAACATCATGAACTAGTGATGTACAGTAGAGCCTTCTGGGGAAGCAAAAGATGGTTTGAGAAGAGAGACAGAGCGAGAGAGAGAAAGAGAGAATGAATATTGGAAGCTCACCCTCAGCACGTCTAACCCTTTTTGTCCGTGCATCAAAAACTTCAATTATATTAGGTCATAAAGGAGCAGCTAAGTCTTCCCTTTGCTGAGTTCTTCTCAGAGGGAATCCCGGTAGTAAGGAAAAAAAAGAAAACAGAATACCCACCAATTTAACATTCTATTAAATTAGATTTACTTAATATTATACTCTTAAAGGGTTAATTGCACTGTAACTTTACTGGAAAGCTCTTGGTTATAATCCTAATTATTATTATAGAATTCTGTTTTCATTAACCCTTTAGCACTGCCTTATTAAGTTAATTTGACACATATTTTGTGTTTTGGAAAAAGAAAATATAAAATAATAATAAGAGCCTTACAGCAGTAAATGCCCAAAATACAAGGTCCAGAATTGAAGAAGAATATCATGTGAAATCTGTATGAAAGGGTGATCTGGGATTTGGCAGAGGAACCATTCAGCTACAGCCTGAAGATAAAGAGATACAGAGGAAAATCAAAAGCTAACTGGTAGGGGAGCAGTATGCAAATAGGGCTGTGAGTTGGAGGCAGCCTTATTAATTTTCAGGAGAACCTTGTATACAATATCATGAACAAAGAACACTCACATTACAGATTCTGTAGAGATTCGCTGAGGAATACAAAAGAAAAAGTAAAACAAAAAACAAAAACACAAGCAAGCCCAAATCCAGTGCCATTAAAGGAGTGTGTGTGTGTGTTTGTGCGTGTGTGTGTGTGTGTGTGTCGAAGAGGACGTATTCACATTTGCACTCACACACATATTAAAGCTTGATGCTGTCTGGAGCATATACAATACCTATCACTAGAAATCTGTTTACAGTTTTCTTTTTCTAATACAACATCTTTTTGCAGAGAGCAGGCCTCCTGCATTATTAATATTCAGACGACTTGTATAATAAGGTGCAGGTACATTTCCATCACATTGCATGCATTTCTATAAAGGTACTCAGTAGCAAAACTGATGTGGAGACTAATGAATCTTGGCCAAGGAGGGTGGTTTGGTTACTAAGTTAGGCTGCATGTCATTTTTACATATCACTACATTATTTTTATTGCCCACTGTTATTTCGTAACATTCATTTTAAAGAATAAGTATCCATGCCCTTATTTAAGATTTTCCATCTTCTGAATGATTCTCAGGATTATTCAGCTTCAAGACACTTCACAGACTTTAAGAAAAACAATTATAGACCTGAATTCATACTCTTACGATTGCCCTAAGGTTTGTCCTACAAAGCATTTGTTTGATAAAATGAAACAAATGTGTATGTGGGGAGAGAGAGCATAGGATAGGATGGAGCATCTATATTTGATTTTAGACATCTTTTTCTTGTCCTAAATGTCTTAGATGTTCTTCGTCCTCCTCAAATTCCGTCTGTTTATTCTAGAAGCTTCAGAGATATATCTAGCCCCCAAAGTAACAAAAATAACCTTTGGAGAATTAAGTTAGTTTTACTTAAACTCTTTTTAAATTTGTTTGTGGATACGTAGTAGATGCATATATTTATGTGATACATGAGATAATTTGACACTGGCATGCTTTGGCCTAAAAATCACATCAGGGTGAATGGAGCATATTATCCTTTCTTTGTGTTACAAACACCCTAATTATACTCTTTTAATTATTTTATTTTATTTTTAAATTTTCATTATTTTTATGTTTCTTGAAACAGGTCTCACTCTGTTTCCTGGGCTGGAGGGCAGTGGCACAAACACAACTCACTGCAGCCTCAACCTCCTGACCTCAAATGATCCTCCCACTTCAGCCTACCAAGTAGCTGGGACTACAGGTATGTGCCACCAGGTCCAGCTAACTATTGTATTTTTTGTAAAATGAGGTCTCACTGTGTTTTCCAGGCTTGTCTTGAACTCCTGGACACAAGTGATCCTCCCACCGCAGCCTCCCAAAGTGCTGGGATTACAGGCATGAGTCACTGCACCTGACCTTGTACTTATTATTTATTTATGTATTTATTTATTTTAGTGCTTAACTTTTATTTTATTAACACTAAGATTCCTATTCTTTTTTTATTTTACTTTAAGTTATGGGATACATGTGCAGAATGTGCAGGTTTGTTACATAGGTATACATGTGCCATGATGGTTTGCTGCACCCATCAACCTGTCATCTAGGTTTTAAGCCCTGAATGCATTAGGTATTTGTCCCAATGTGCTCCTTCCCCTTGCTCCCTCCTGCCCACCCCAATTTGTAGTTATTTTTAAATGTACAACAAATAATTGTTGACTGTCATCACCCTGTTGTGCTATCAAATACTACATCTTATTTGTGCTAACTATGTTTTTATACCCATTAACTATCCACACTGTCCCTTAACTCCTGGCACTACATTTCCCAGCCTCTGGTAACCATCATTCTACTTTCTAGGTCCATGAGTTCAACTGTTTTAATTATTTTATCTCCCACAAATAAGGGAGAATATGCAAGTTTGTCTTTCTGTGCCTGACTTTTTTCACTTAACATAATGACCTCCAGTTCCATCCATGTTGTTGCAAGTGATAGGATCACATTCTTTTTATGGCTGAATAGTACTCCGTCATATATATGTACATTTTCTTTATCCATTCATCTGTTGACAGACACTTACATTGCTTCCAAATCTTGGGTATTGTGAATAGCGCTTCCACAAATATGGGTGTTGCAGATATCTCTTTGATACACTGATTTTCTTTCTTTTGGGTATATACCTAGAAGCGGGATTGCTGGATCATATGGTAGCTCTATTTTTAATTTTTTGAGGAACCTCCAAACTGTTCTCCATAGTGGCTGTACTAATTTACATTCCCTTCAGCAGTGAATATAGGTTCTGACAATTAACAGTGCAAACAATACCCAACACCATACACATGTTAATTGGTTCAGATTACAAAATTCCAGCTGAAAAAACAAAGTTCAAGAAACTTTGCACTCAATGGATGCCTAAATCAGCTGCAGATGACAGCACAGCTTTCAATATAAATTTTAAACAAACAGGATCAAGGTAGAGACATGGCTTTATCAGTATGATCTGGAATGCAAAGTACAATCAAAGCAGTGGTTACCAAAAAGTGGAAGTGGTCCAGTCAAAGCAAAAAACAAGCAAGAGCAAAGGTTTTGGCAAAAGATTTTGGGATGCTCAAGGCATTTACTTGTTGACTCTGTGGAGGGGTAGAGAACACTAACATCTGCTTATTATGAGTTTTTAAAAAGTTAGCCAAAGCTGTCGCAGAAGAACACACAAGAAAGCTTTTCCAGTGAGTCTTTCTCCACCACAGCAATGATCCTGCTCACCTCTCATCAAACAAGGGCAACTTTTTGGCAGTTCTGCTGGGAAGTCATTAGATATCCACCTTATATTCCTGATTTGGCCCTTCTGACTTTTTTGTTTCCTAATCTTAAAAAAATCTTTAAAGAGCATCCATTTTTCTTTAGTTAATAGTACTGTAAAAAAGACTACATTGACATGGTTAAATTCATTCTCCTAAGGATATCCTTCAAAAGGCAAAGTTTTAAATTTTGATTTTTAAATTTGATGCTAAAATTTAATTTCATTTGTTCTGGTACCATCCATTGAAAAGATTACCCTTTCTCCACTGAAATGCTTTCGTACTATTGTAAAACCATAAATTCTTCATATATGTGTGCTTATTTCTGTATGAACTACTATGTTTTGTTGATTTGTCTGTCTTTATGTCAATTTCACACTACTTTGATAAATTTCATAAGAAATCTTGAACTCTCACTTTGTATATTCTAAGTCTTTTGTGTTTCTATATGAACTTTATAATCAGCTTATCAAATCTATAAAAAAAAATGCTAGGATTGAATCTAAAGGTCAAATTGGGGAGAGTTAACATTTTAGGAATACTGAGTCTTTCTACCCTTGAACATGGTACATCTTTCCATTTTTTAAGGATATTTCAAAAACACTCTTAGCAGTGTTTTATAGTTTTCAATGTCAAAGTTGTATACATATTTTGTGAGATTTATCACTGTATTTTCATTTTTATGCTATTTAAGTCATATATTTTTATTTTAATTTCTAATCATTTGACGCTATTTTATAGAAATATATTTTGCCTATTGATCACGTATCTTACAAACTTGCTAAACTCACTTGTTCTAGTAGTTTTTTGCAGATTTTAAATTTTTTTTACATGGACAATGATTTTGTTCATGCAAAAGTTTTATTTTTTTCTTTCCATCTGTATGACTTTTACTTCATCCTCTCTCACTATTTCAATGGCTAGTGCAATAAAGAGAGAATAGAAGTGGTGAGAGAAAAACCTCTGTTCTTGATTTTTCACGGAAGACAATCTGTCTTTACCATTAAGTATTACGTTAGCTGTAGGTTATTAACCAATTCCCTTCCTTGGATCGAGGAAGTTTTCTGTTGTTCCTAGTTTGCTGAGAGCTTTTATCAGGAATGGATGTTGAATTTTATCAAATGCTTTTCTGCATTTATTTGGGATCATCTATGTTTTCTTTTTAATTTTGTCAATATGTTGAATTATTGATGGATCTGTGAGTGTTCAACCAATTTTGCATTTTGGGGTAGACCTCAGAAATGCGCATGATCTAGCCGGTCATGATATAATCTAAGTTATTTTCCTTCTCAGAGAATCAGCCTTTTATTTAATGGATTTTTCTCCATTTTCTCTCTTTTTTCAGTGGATTAAATTCTGGTCTTTATTATTTCTTTTTCACACTTCCTTTGGGTTCAATTTGCTTTTCTTTAGCAGGGTTATTGATAAAAGCTGAGGTCATTGGTTTAAGACCATTTTTTTTTAATGTAGATCTTCTGTGCTAGAAGGTTTTCCACTAAGTTACTGCTTTAGGAACATTCCACAAATTTTAACATGTGTTTTTATTATTCATTCAACTTAAAATATTTTTTTAATGTAGTCCTACTTTAGACATTTTAAGTTCTATACAAATAAAAGGCATTATAATTAAAATGTGAAATAAACTCATTTATCATTATAGTTTGTTCTTATTTTATTTTTTTATTTCCATAAAAAATAAAAGGAACAGGTGATGTTTGATTATTGAGGAACAAGTGGTGTTTGGTTATATGAGTAAGTTCTTTAGTGGTGAATTGAGATTTTGGTGCACCCATCACCCGAGAAGTATACACTGCACCCTGTTTGTCATTTTTTATCCCTCATCCCCTTCTGACCCTTTCCCCCGAGTCCCCAAAGTTCATTGTGTCATTATTATGCCTTTGCATCCTCATAGCTTAGCTCCCACTTATGAGTGAGAACATATAATGTTTGGTTTTCCACCCCTGAGTTACTTCACTTAGAATAATAGTCTCTAATCTCATCCAGGTTGCTGTGAATGTCATTAATTCATTCCTTCTTATGGCTGAGTAGTATTCCTTTATGTGTGTATATATATATATGTATATATATATATATATATATGATATATATATGTGATATATATGTGTGTGTGATATATATATGTGATATATATATATATGTGAGATATATATATATATCTCACATTTTATCCACTCATTGATTGATGGGCATTTGTCTTGGTTCCACGTTTTTGCAGTTGTGAATTGTGCTGCTATAAACGTGTGTGTTCATGTATCTTTTTCATAATGACTTCTTCTCTTCCTCTGGGTAGATACCTAGTAGTGGGATTGCTGGATCAAATGGTAGTTCTACCTTTAGTTCTTTGAGGAATCTCCATACTGTCTTTCGTAGTGGTTGTACTAGTTTACATTCCCTCCAGCAGTGTAAAACTGTTCCCTGTTCACTGCATCCATGCCAACTCTACTTTTTAAAAAATTTTTTTGATTATGGCCATTCTTGCAGGAGTAACGTGGTATTTCACTGTGGTTTTGATTTGCATTTCACTGATCATTAGTGATGTTGGACATTTTTTCATATGTTTGTCGGACATTTGTGTATCTTTTTTTGAGAATTGTCTATTTATGTCCCTAGCCCAATTTTGAGAGGATTTTTTTCTTGTTGGTTTGTTTGAGCTTGTTGTAGATTCTGGATATTAGCCCTCTGTCAGATGTATAGACTGTGAAGATATTTTTCCCACTCTATGGGTTGTCTGTTTACTCTGCTACTACTTTTGCTGTGCAAAAGCTCTTTAGTTATAATTAAGTCCTACCTATTTATATTTGTTTTTATTGCATTTGCTCTTGGGTTCTTGGTCATAAAATCTTTGCCTAAACCAGTGTCTAGAAGGGTTATTCCAATGTTAATTGATAGAATTTTTATATTTTCAGGTCTTAGATTTAAGTCCTTAATCCATCTTGAGTTGATTTTTGTATAAGGTGAAAGATAAGGATCCAGTTTCATTCTTCTACATGTGGCTAGCCAATTATCCCAGCACCATTTGTTGAATAGGGTATCCTTTCCCTACTTTATGTTTTTGTTTGCTTCATCTAAGATCAGTTGGCTGTAAGTGTTTGGGTTTATTTCTGGGTTCTCCATTCTGTTCCATTGGTATTTGTGCCTATTTTCATACCAGTGCCATGCTGTTTTGGTGTTTTGGAGACTATGGCCCTATAGTATAGTTTGAAATTCAGCAATGTGATGCCTCCAGATTTGTTCTTTTTGCTTAGTCTTGCTTTGGCTATGCAGGCTCTTTTTGGTTCCATATGAATTTTAGAATTGTTTTTGTCTAATTCTGTGAGGGATGATTGTGGTATTTTGATGATAATTGCATTGAAGTTGTAGATTGCTTTTGTCAGGATGGTCATTTTCACAATATTGATTCTACCCATCCATGAGCATGGGATGTATTTCCATTTGTTTGTGTTGTCTATGATTTCTTTCAGCAGTGTCTCTTAGTTTTCCTTGTAAAGGTCTTTCACCTCCTTGTTTAGTTATATTCCTAAGTATTTTATTTTATTTTTTTTGCAACTATTGTAAAAGGGGTTGAGTTCTTGATTTGATTCTCACCTTGGTCACTGTTGGTGTGTAGAAGAGCTACTGATTTGTGTACATTAATTTTGTATCCAGAAACTTTGCTGGATTCTTTTATCAGTTCTAGGAGCTTTTTGGAGGAGTATTTAGGGTTTTCTAGGTAGACGATCATATTATCAGCAAACAGAAACAGTCTGGCTTCCTCTTTACTAATTTGGATGCCCTTTATTTCTTTCTCTTGTTTGATTTCTCTGGCTAGGACATCCAGTACTATGTTAAAGAGGAGTGGTGAGAGAGGACAACCTTGTCTCGTTAAAGTTCTCAGAGCGAATAGTTTCAACTTTTCCCCATTCAGTATTATGTTTATGGGTTTGTCATAGATGGAGGTATGTCCCTTTTATGCCAATTTTGCTGCAAGTTTTAATCATAAATGGACGGCGGATTTTGTTGAATGCTTTTTCTGCGTCTATTGAGATGATCACGTGATTTTTGTTTTTAATTCTGTTTATGTGGTGTATCACATTTATTGACTTGCATATGTTATCCATCCCTGAATCTCTGGTATGAAACCCACTTCAGCATGGTGGATTATCTTTTTGACATGTTGTTGGATTCTGTTAGCTAGTATTTTGTTAAGGATTTTAGCATCTATGTTCATCAGGGATATCGGTATGTAATTTTCTGTTTTGGTTATGTCCTTTCCTGATTTTGGTATTAGGGTGATACTAGCTTCAAAGAATGATTTAGGGAGGGTTATCTCTTTCTCTATGTTGTGGAATAGTGTCAATAGGATTGGTACCAAGCCTTCTTTGAATGTCTGGTAGAATTCTGCTGTGAATCCATCTAGTCCTAGCCTTTTTTTGTTGGTAATTTTTTAATTACCATTTCAATCTCGTTGCTTGTTATTGGCCCATTCAAGGTAGCTAATTCTTCCTGATTTAAGCTAGGAAGCTTGTATCTTTCCAGGAATTTATCCGTCTCTTCTAGGTTTTCTGGTTTATGTGCATAAAGGTGATCATAGTAGCCTCGAATGATCTTTTGTATTTCTGTGGTGTCAGTTGTGATATCTCCTGTTTCATTTCTTATTGCAGTCATTTGGATTTTCTCCCTTCTTTTCTTGGTTAATCTTGCTAATGGTCTATCACTTTTATTTATCTTCTCAAAGAACCAGTTTTTGTTTCATTTATCTTTTGTATTGGTTTGTTTGTTTCAGTTTCATTTAGTTCTGCTCTAATCTTGGTTATTTCCTTTCTCCTGCTGGGTTTGGGTTTGGTTTGTTCTTGTTTCTCTAGTTTCTTGCGTTGTGACCTTAGATTATCTGTTTGTGCTCTTTCAGACTTTTTGATGTAGCCATTTAGGGCTATGAACTTTGCTTTTAGCATTGCTTTTGCTGTATCCCAGAGGTTTTGATAGGTTGTGTCACTATTGTTGTTCAGTTTGAATAATTTTTTAATTTCCATCTTGATTTGATTTTTGACCCAGTGATCATTTAGGAGCAGGTTATTTAATTTCAATGTTTTGGCATGGTTTTGAAGGTTCCTTTTAGAGTTGATTTCCAGTTTTGTTACACTGTGGTCTGACAGAGTACTTGAAAAATTTCAATTTTCTTGAATTTATTGAGGCTCATTTTGTGGCCTATCATATGATCTCTCTTGGAGAAAGTTCCATGCGCCACTGAATAGAATGTATATTCTGCAGTTGCTAGATGGAATGTTCTGTATATGTCTGTTAAGTCCATTTGTTCGAGGGTATAGTTTTAATCCATTGTTTCTTTCTTGACTTTCTGTCTTGATGACCAGTCTAGTGCTGTTAATGGAGTACTGAAGTCCCCCACTATTATTGTGTTGTTGTTTATCTCATTTCTTAGGTCTATTAGTAATTGTTTTATAAATTTGGAACCTCCGGCGTTAGGAGCATACATGTTGAGGATTGTGATATTTTCCTGTTGGCCTTTATCATTATATAATGTCCCTCTATCTTTTTAATGCTGTTGCTTTAAAGTTTGTTTTGTCTGATATAACAATAGCTACTCCTGCTCACTTTTGGTGTCCATTTGCATGAAATGTATTTTTCCACCCTTTTACCTTAAGTTTATGTGAGTCCTTATGTGCTAGGTAAGTCTCTTAAAGGCAGCAGATAGTTGATTGGTGAATTCTTATCCATTCCACAACTTGGTATATTTTAAGTGTACATTTAGGCCATTTACATTCAATGTTAGTATTGAGATGTGAGGTACTATTCTGTTTATACTGCTATTTGTTGCTTCTATACCTTGGTTTCTTGTTTTTTGTTTTTGTCTTTTAAATTATATTTTTGTTTTATAGGTCCTGTGTGATTTATGCTCTATAGAGGTTCTCTTTTGACGTGTTTCCAGACTTTGTTTCAAGATTTAGAGCTCCTTTTAGCAGTTCTTGTAGTGGTGGCATGGTAGTGGTGAATTCTCTCAGCATTTGTTTGTCTGCAAAAGACTATTTTTCCTTCATATATGAAGCTTAGTTTTGCTGGATACAGAATTCTTGGCTGATCATTGTTTTGTTTGAGGAGACAAAAGATAGCATCCCAATCCTTTCTAGCTCGAAGGATTTCTAATGAGAAATCTGCTGTTAATCTGTTAGGTTTTCTTGATAGGTTACCCGCTGCTTTTGTCTCACAGCTCTTAAGATTGTTTCCTTTGTCTCAAATTTAGATAACCTGATGACGATGTCCCTAGATGATGATCTTTCTGTGATGAATTTCCTAGGTATTCTTTGTGCTTCTTGTATTTGGATGTCTAAGTCTCTGGCAAGGCTGGGGAAGTTTTCCTCGATTATTCCCCCAAATATATTTTCCAAACTTTTAGATTCCTCTTCTTCCCCGGGAACACCGATTATTCTTAGGTTTGGTCATTTAACATAATTCCAGATTTCTTGGAGGCTTTCTTCATGTTTTCTTATTTTCTTTTCTTTGTCTTTGTTGGATAGAGTTAATTTGAAGACCTTGTCTTCGAACTCTGAATTTCTTTCTTCTACTTGTTTGATTCTATTCCTGGGACTTTCCAGAGGATTTTGCATTTCTATGAGTGTGTCTATTGTTTCCTGAAGTTTTGATTGTTTTTTTTTTTTATGCTATTTCATTGAATATTTCTCCCTTCACTTCTTGTATCCTTTTTTTGATTTCCTTACTTTGAGCTTCACCTTTCTCTGCTGCCTACCTGATCAGCGTAATAACTAACCTCCTGAATTCTTTTTCAGGTAAATCGGGGATTTCTTCCTGGTTTGGATCCATTGCTGGTGAGCTAGTGTGATTTTGGGGGATGTTAAAGAACCTTGTTTTGTCATATTACCAGAGTTGGTTTTCTGGTTCCTTCCCATTTGGGTAGCCTCTGTCAAAGGGAAGATCTAGGGCTGAAGGCTGTTCTTCAGATTCTTTTGTCCCACAGGGTGTTCCCTTGATATAGAACTCTCCCCCTTTTCCCAGGGATGTGGCTTCCTGAGACCAGAGCTGTCGTGATTGTTATCTCTCTTCTGTATCTAGCCACCCAGCAAGTCTACCAGGCTCTGGGCTGGTACTGGGGGTTGTCTGCACAGAGTCCTGTTATTTGAACCATCTGTGGGTTTCTCAGCCGTGGATACAAGCACCTGTTCTGGTGGAGGTGGCAGGGGGGTAAAATGGACTCTGTCATTCAGTTTAAAATATGTTCTAATTTCCCTCTTCTTTGATCCCTAGATTATTTAGAAGTGTGTTATATAGTTCTAAAATGCCTGAGGATCTTCCAGAGAAACTTCTATTATTAATTTTAATTTAATGTGATTGTGGTGTGAGAACATACTTTGTGTAACTTGGATTCTCCTAAATTTATTGAGCCATTTTTTTGTGTCCTAGAATATGGTCTATTTCAGTAAATATTCATGTGCTCTTGAAAAGAATGCACATTCTGTTGTTGATATAAGTGTTCTGATGTAAGTTGGTTGATATTGTTAAGTCTTGTATATGCTTGATGATTTTGTATTTACTTGTTCTACCAATTATGAACATAGGGTTATTGAGCTCTTGAGCTATAATTTAGTTTTGTTTCTTTCTCCTTGCACTTACATCAGTTTTTGCTTCATGAATTTTGAAGATCTGTTATTAGGTACATAAACATTTATGAATGTTATGTCCTTTGGATGAATTGACACCTTTATCAGTATAAAATGACCTTCTTTATCCTAAGAAATATTCTTTGCCCTGAATTCTACTTTGTCTGATATTAACATAGCCACTCTAGTTTCTTTTTAAAACTAATGTCAGTAAAGTATATATTTCCTATCCTTTTACTTTTTGGCCTATTTGTGACTCTGTGTTTAAAATACTTTATTTGCATACAGCATGTAAGTTATACAGTTGAATTTAATGTTTCCAATTAAAATGACAATTTTTGCCTTTAATACGGAAGTTTAGACCACCTACCTGTAATACAATAGCCAGGATGTAGTGAGGTTTGAGTCACTCATCTTGCCACTTGTTTTCAACTTTTCCCATTTTTTAATTCCATTTTTCTATTCCATTTTCTCCATTTTCTGCTTTCTTTTGTATTAACAGATGTGTAATAATTCAATTTAATATATTTTGCTGCTTCTCAGCTACAACCCTGTTTTGTTTCAGTAGTTGATTTAGAATTTATGTTACATACCATTAATTTATGACAATTTATAACTTTATAATTTAATTGATGTTATGCCACTTTATATAAAAGAATATTAAAATGCTATACTTCTATTTTTGTCCCTTCTGAATTTTTTGCAGTGTTGTCACCTTTAACAAATCCCCATGACTTTGCTATTATTTTTGTTTAAACAATGATCTTTCAAAGAAATTTAAAAACACAGATATAAATATTCTAAAGAGCTATAGATGACACACATATATATGTATGCACATACACACATATATACATAGTTGCCTATATCTTTACCATATTCAGTGTTTCTGTCTGTTGGTGAAGATCCCTATTTTCATCTGGTGTTATTTTCCTTTGCCTTAGGAGCTACCTTTAATATTTCTTGTTATGCACATCTTCTGATGATACGTTTTTTTACCATTTCTATTTATGAAAAAGTATTTCCTGTTTACTTTTGAAAAATATTTTCACTGGATGCATAGGGTGAACATATTTTATTTTACCGCTTTAAAGTTTTTTTCTCTACTTTCTTGTCACTTGCATTGTTTCTGATGAGAAATATACTGTAATCCCCATCTTTACTGCTCTGTATGTAACATGCTGCCTTCCTCCACTTCCTGGCTATCTTTATAATGTAGTCCGTATCACTGTTCAGTCATTTTATTATGTTGTGTTTGTACAGCTGTCTTTATTACACTTGTATTATAAACAATTCATTGAACTTCTTCGGCCTGTGGATTTACAATTTCCTTCAACTTTATAAAATATCAGCCAGTATTTCTACAATAGTGTTTCTGCCCTGGCTCTTTTAAGAGATTACAATTATTTAGTCATATACATATGTGTGTGTATATATATACAATGTTATTATATTATATATTATGTAATAATATTACATATTATCTATGTTGTAATATAGATTATATAATTATTTTTATATAGAATATATTAAAATCATGTACATTTATATAGCCACTTAAAGCTATTACACAGCTTATTAATGTCCTGTACATTTAAAGATTATTTTTCTTCTCTTTATTTTACTTTGGATAGTTTACATTACTATGTGTTCAAGTTTATTACTCTTTCATTTGTAACACCTAATGTGTCATTAATCTCATCCGTACTTTTAATCTCAAATATTGTACTTTCCACTTTAGAAGTTTGATTTTGTATAACTATCCTGTCTCTATGTAACTTTCTGAACCTCTAAAATATAGTTCTAATGACTTTTCTAACATCTGTATTCACTTCTTATAACATCCATTTCACTTCTGCTCCAGTTTCAATTGATTTTCTCCTCATTAGGAGTTGTGTTTTTCTCTTCTGCATATTTGGTAATGTTTGATTGAGCATCAGATGTTGTGCTTTTACATTATTTGGTACTTGATTTTTTTTATTTCTATAAATATCACTGAGTTTTTTTTCTTTGGATGTAGTTACTTCAAAACAATTTAGTTCTTGCAATAGTTTGCTGAGAATGATGGTTTCCAGCTTCATCCATGTCCCTACAAAGGACAGGAACTCATCATTTTTTATGGCTGCATAGTATTCCATGGTGTATATGTGCCACATTTTCTTAATCCAGCCTATCATTGTTGGACATTTGGGTTGGTTCCAAGTCTTTGCTATTGTGAGTAGTGCTGCAATAAACATACGTGTGTATGTGTGACACAGGAAGGGGAACATCATACACTGGGGCCTGTCATGGGGTGGGGGGAGGCGGGAGGGATAGCGTTAGGAGATATACCTAATGTAAATGAATGAGTTAATAGGTGCAGCACACCAACATGGCACATGTATACATATGTAACAAACCTGCACGTTGCGCACATGTACCCTAGAACTTAAAGTATAATAATATATATATATATATATATATATATATATATAAATTAGTTCTTTTGGGTCTTGCTTTTAAGATTTGCTAATTAGTCTAGGTCTATTTTCTCTACACTACCTAGGCAAGATCTTCCTGAGTATTCTACCCAATCCCATGCATTTTTCTGGTATGGCTGATGAAAACAGGCACTATTCTCATCCCTGTGTGAATGCCAGGCACCTGTTTGTTCTTATTCTCTCATATGATCTTTGCCAGAGCATTGGACAAAGACATTCTGCTCAGATACCAGAACCAAGATCTAATCTTCTAAAAACCCCCATACCTATTATAGAGGACTTTTTTCAAAGCACATAGAGATTTTAGTAACTACTATGTGTTATTCATTCTTCACTTGAAATGAACAAGTTGAACATAGTGGAGCCACAAGATGAAAAAAAACTGGTTTACTGAGTCATGATTTTACGGATGTTACTAACAGAAGTGCTTGTATTTAACCAAGTAAGTGAGAAGTGTGTGTGTGTGTGTGTGTGTGTGTGTCTATGTATAGCCAAAATTTGAAACTATTTCTATTTAAGGAACTAATATTCCTGAAATTAATACATACTTACTATTATCACTATTTTATAACCTAATAAATTAAAGTTTTGCAACCAAGAAAATAAATCACATATATAGCCAATAAAGAAATGAAGATTCAAATCCAGGCAGTCTGACTCCGGGGCCCATTTTTGTTGTTGTTGTTGTTGTTTGCTGTTTTTTAATTCACTTTTATTTTAGAAGCTGTAATTTTACAGAAAAGTTGTAATATAGTACAGAGAATTAATTTATGACATGCCTAGTTTCCCTTCTTATTAACATCTTATATTAGTATGGAACTTTTATCACAATTAATGAACCTACATCAATGGATTACAAGTAATATCTGTATTTTATTCAGAATCCCTTAGTTTTTCTGTATTTTTTATGTATCAAAATCGCTGGATACCATAAGAAATCATATTATATTTACCTGCTGTATCTCTTTTGGTATTTCTTGAATGAGACGGTCTCTTAGAATCTCAGATTTTCCTTGACTTTGAGGACTTTCACGGTTTTTAGGAGTACTGGCCACATATTTTATGCAATGTCTTTCAATTTGGTTTTATCTGGTATTTTTCTCATGATTAGATTGGGGTGATGTGTGTTTTTGGAGGAAGAGCATAGATGTAAAGTGTTGTTCTCATCATATCATGAGTGCCTACTGTAGACATGACATTGTTGTTTACATTAATCTCTTTGTATGGCTGAGGTAGTATTTGTCATTTTCCCCCATGGTACAGTTACTCTCCCCCGCCCCCCCCCACCCACTTTTCATATCATACTCTTTGTAAGGAAGTCACTGTGTGCCATCTACACATAAGGAGTGGGGTGCTATGCTCCACCTCCTTACTGGGAGAATAGCTACATTGATTACATGGAATTCTTCTGCATGAGGGACTTGCCAATTAATCACATTTACTTATTTATTCAACAATTTATTTTTATCAGCAACAGACTCAGGGAAAATTCTTTTATACGTTGGGTTATAATTTAATACTACTCTATTTTGTGGTCTACAGTTTTCAAGTTTTGGCCATTTTGAAGCTGTTTCCATTAATGCCTGTTTTCCTTCAACATACCTTCATTATTATTTTTTTTGAGCACTTTTTTTACTTTCTGGCATTATAAGATGCTTCAAGCTCATTTTGAATATTTTCTATTTCAGTCATAAAACCAATGATTTATCCAAAAAAAAAAGACCTAGTTTCCTTTATTAGAGAATTGTACTAGAGACCAAGATCTAAGTTTTATACTTTTCACAGCTACTCTTTGTTGCCTAAATCCTTCTAAATGGTAAAGGCATAATAATGAAGTTAACCATGGAGAACACTGGAGAATAGCAAAGGGGGCCCTTGGCATAGGGAAGGACTTAAATACTATATGAAACAGAAATAATAAGAATGGATAATAGATAAATTGTAATATTTAATTGGCCATCCAGTATATAACTTGATGCATAACTTCACTAGAAAACAGAGGACTACAAATTAACAAGGAGAAAACTGTCTTTTCCAGCTAAGAAGTATAAAGGTAGTTTCTGGCTGAATAATGCTGTCACCAAGATCAACTAGGACAGATAGATATGATAGAAAAGACAATCTGATTTAAGATATTAAAAAATTTCTAGGCAGGAATTGAGGAAGGTAGGATCTAACTGAAGAGAACACTTCAGAAAGGTAAACAACATTCAGTAACCGCATATTTTAAACTTGGGGCCTTTGCGAATTCCGGATACTAGGCAAGAAGCTAAGAATCTGCAAAGGGCCCAGAGAGAGCATCTGTTACTAAAGGCAGAGAAACCAGTATATAACTGGAACTTTAAAGAAATCAGTGAGAAAAGCCAAAGTTAACAAACAAACTAATAAAAATTAAAAACCGATATACTTGAGGAGCTAAAATTTTGTTGAGAAAGTAGGAGAATATCACTGTGACTTACAAATATATATTTGCCAAATTCTTAAGTTGCGCGTTACAAGGCGTTAAGAAAAAACTTCTGAGAAACAAAGCTGAGGATTGGCAGCCTTTGGTGTTGAGGAAACAAAGGACCCATAGAGGAAATGGCTGGTCAACACCACAGGATATGCCCTGAGAGAGACAATATATCACAAGTAGAAGAGACTTACCTAAAATTCAAGTTAGCCTCAACTAAACTTATTTCCTAAGAATTTATATGAATAGGATCTCAGTATATCTGCCTAACAGAAAAAGGGTAAACTTTCTCTTGGAAAAGGTAGTATCATCCAAATCACCTATAATGCTTTCATTACAATACTGATTATTCAATTATAATTACTGGGCATACTGCAAGACAGAACTAAATTACCAAAACCCAGTATGATAAAGAAAATACTAGAAATAGACTCACAGTTTACCCAGACATTGGGGTTAATAGATAATGAAATTTAAAGTAACTAAGATTAATATGTTCGATATATGGTAAAATAAAATAGTTGGAAAAAAGAGAGTTTTATCACAGACTAAATCTGTAAAAATAATCTAATGAGTATTATAAAACTGAAAAAAAACCACAGTAAACAAAATCAAGAACTATTAAATGGGTTTAGCCCCATTAGACACAGCAGGAGAGAGGATTTGTGACTTGGAAATTAAGTCACTAGAAATAATTGGGGACAAAAAGGGAAAATACATAAGAACTTGTGACAAAAATATAAAATACAGTACATTTAAAAATTTCATGTAATTGGAATCACAAGACTAGAGTCACAGAAAGAGAATATGAAATGGGAAAAAGCAATCTTTGAGGAAATACTGGATGGACAATTAAAAAAGAAATCAATCTACAATTTCATGAAGTTTCATGAAGCTCTGCAAATCCCCAGCAAAATAAATGCAAAGAAAATCACACCAATACACAAAGTAAAGCTCTTACAATCTACAGAAAAAAAAAAATGAGCAATCTCAAAACAGTGACATTTGGAGAGAGGACTGCCTTCAAAAGTATAACAGCAGTAAGGTTTGTATATATCTCAAGAACAATTTTGGAAGACAGAAAACTACATAGGTAAATATAAATGAAATTTATCCAAAAACTATATTTTATGTTTTTAAACACATGTGGAATTAAATTTGTAATAATAGTAACATAAAACACCGGAGTAGATAAACGAAGTTAACTTATTTGAAGTTTTAGCATTGTTGAGAAAGTGGCAAAAGTAATAATGTATATTAGACTGTAATAAATCAAAAATGCATGTTTGATCTTTAGGGTAACTAAGAAAGTAATAATAAAAACTAACCCAATTTATTAAAGGGGAAAAGTACAATAATAATATTAAAATATGTGATTAAGATGTAAAAAGGCAAGAAAAATTAAAACATAGAAGAAAATATCAAATTTACTTCCATTATATTTTTTAAGTTGAACAATTCCAAGTGTTCATAAGGATCAGGAGAAATGAAAACATTCATTTACATTTATAAGAAAAACATAGATAATGCTTCAAGACATAGTGTTGACTATTACATTATGAATTCTATAAAATACACATATACACAGAACACTACATGTTCATCTAGGATAAAACCAAGGACGCATATTAAAAATTAGAAAGGATACTAATGTGGGGGTAGAATTAGAGTAGGGGTAAAATATTTCATGGTATGAATTCAAAAGATAATTAACTTTCTGTACCTGAAACTTCAATTTAAAATAAATAAATAAGTAAAAGCTACAATTGAGTATAATAACTACTTTAATAGAAGTCTCCTTCTTTGGGCTGCTCCACAAATTCTGGTACAAATATACGTACCTTCCATCTAAATATATACTTACATTCCATCTAAATATATATGTATACATGAATGTAAGTATGTATTTATTTATTTATGAATTCAGTTATTCAATTATTTGTTATAAGCCAATGCCTTGTTTGAACGTGTCTAGTGTCTCCCTTTGAGTGTTTTATTCTTTCCAAATTACTGCCACTCCTTTAGTGAAGAGCAACAATAACTATCTTGATCAATCTATTATGAACATTGCAAGTTGTTGACTACAAAGCCAACAAAGCTCATAGGAAGTCTATACTGTGTTTCTGGGAGGCTTCTCAGTCTAGGATGCAGTTGTCTTTTAATGAAAGGACGTGAACTCACATATTCTATCTTTTACTTTCAAAGGTGCTACAAATATAAATTCCCAAGATTAAAGCTATTTAGCTTATATTTACTATTCCAGGAGTTCTAAGAATGAAAAGCCTTTTCATTATTTCCATGCCATAGCACCATGCCTTAATACCAAACTGGCCTTTATGTCGAGCTTAGGAAACCAACCTTAACTCTCCCTTGACTCAAGGTAATTTTATTCTCATTAGTCTCATTTCTTACACCTGGAATTTGTTCAAAGCCAGCCATGTCCCCATGATTCAGGTCATCTCACCCTGAATCTTAGGAAACAGGAGTAGGTTATCAGGCCTTGTTCTTTCTGGAATTTGTTGGAGGACCTGTATATTTCAATCCACCTCTTCTAAATCCAGAGATTAAAGTGAAATTCCATTTCTCTTTTTAATCCAGAAAGATATCACCTCTGCATATTGGATATTTCAAACAAGACAAGGTAATTTTGGCTTTCTATGTCCAACAGAATGGCTATCTACGTGCTTTGTGTTGTTGTCACCAAAAGTGTCTAACACGAAATTTTGAAAGGAAAGATCTCTTCTAACTGACTCCATTCCTATATTCAGTAGAAGCTGCCATTCTATTTACTCTCCTCAATGGAAGAGTAAATATCTTTCTTCAGGGATCACATAAGAAGACCAACTTATCCAGGATTAGAGAGCCAGAGATTTCCTGAAACAAGTGATTTCAGAACCTGGCCTCTGAAAGATAAGAATGAGTCAGCTTTGGCTAAGGATGGAGTCAAACAGTACAGGTGGATACACTAATGTTAGAAAGGGCCAGTTACATTCAGTAACACATCAGTGGTTCTGCACAACTGAAAGTTAGAATAGTAGAGCATTCAGAGTATTACTAAGACATTGAACTTGAAGGAAAAAAGGGAGAAGAGCTAGATCATCATTGGTAGAATTCTTACTTTTTTTTTTTTTTCTTTTTTGAGACAGAGTCTAATTCTGTCACCCAGGCCGGAGTGTGGTGGTGTGATCTCGGCTCACTGCAAACTCTGCCTCTTGGGTTCAAGCGATTCTCCTGCCTCAGCCTCCCAAGTAGCTGGGATTATAGGCACCTGCCATCACGCCCAGCTAATTCTTGTATTTTTTTTAGTAGAGATGGGGTTTCACCATGTTGGCCAGGTTGGCCTTGAACTCCTGATCTTAGGTGATCTGCCCGCCTCGGCCTCCCAAAGTGCTGGAATTACAGGTGTGAGCCATTGCGCCCGGCCGAATTCTTTTGTGTGTGCTTGTGAGTGCAAAGGAGAAGGACTGCATTACAGATACTGGGTTAATGTTACACAAAGAAAGGTAGACAATCCGTTAGGAGTCTTGAGATAGAGTTGTTCTTTAACAGAATCCTAGGATTATTGTGGGAAGCAAGCTCAAGCCACTCCACGCTTTTCCCGCTCTACAACCAAAGAATGTAGAATATCTGTCTAAATTGGTCATGTTCACAGGCATCAATTAGATAATAATGCACTAGAAAATCATCTATCCTTCTTTTGGTATTAAGTCTTTCAGGGATCTCTGTCTTCTTCCCAGGACTTACGGAGATGAAGACATGGCCGATTGTCTGCTTCCTTTTATCAATAGTCAGGCAGTATCATTCTTTCTACAAATCAGCTATACCTCATTGTCAGTCTTAATCTCTTTCTCAGTGCATTTTTTCTACATTGCTGACCCAAATAATCTATGCTAGCTGCTACAATGTTTCACTCCTGAAATCTCTCAGTAGCTGAACACAGTAAAAGTTTATTCCTGGCTCATAGAGAGTCTGATAGGACAGGATGTATGCCTTATGGAAGAGAAATGAAAGAATGGAAGAATTACCCTGGTTCTAACTGCCCCAAAAGAATGGAAGAATTACCCTGGTTCTAACTGCCTCTGGCTGGTACAGACATATATCACTTCCACTCACAGCCATTGGCCAGTCACCATGCGTCAGCCTCACTGCAAAGGAGGCTAGGAAACAGGAAGGAACAAAGAATATTACTTTTCTCAGTCAAACAGACTTGTGTGGCTACTATAGAGTCAGTTTCTCTTTCTCTCTCCCTACACCCATTTCTTACAAACAGATGTTTGCTTAGAAAGTTTTTGCACTTTCTATTGTTCCAGCATTTGCACACTCATTACCTCATTTAATCTTCTCAACAGCCAGGAGCAATGGGCTTTGATGAGTGTGAGTAATCTACGTAAAATCACAGCACCACTAAAGGGGTGATACAAAACTTTAACTGAGAGCCCCCTCCTCTACACTCTCCTTACAGTAGTTCTCAATCTTCGGCCTGCATCAGAATCACCTGGAAGGTACTTTAAAGCACAGATAGGGCACTCTGCTCCCAGTGTTTCTGATTCCGTGGATTTACATTTCAAACAGGTTCACTGGCGATGCTGATGCTTCTGGTCTTGAGACCAAACTTTAGATACAGGGCTGTCCTATATCACAGCAACTTCCATTAGTGAAAAACTAAAAGGCACTACCTATAATAAAGCATTGAAACAAAGAACTCTTTCCAAATCAGAAATAATTCCTAGGGTATGGGACATGCTGTGAGTAATGTTTTCAGATACTTAATAGCTGCTTTCCTGAGAAGCTTTCATTTCTGATCGCCAAGATGCAGAGCAGAGGCTAGCTCCAGTTTCAGAGGAAATAAGGTCCATGGGACTGCCTCCTCTTCTTCTGGAGAAGGCACTGCCAACCTTTTTCTCTAAGCATCCCATCTGCCCCAACCCACATTGAGCTCTGGTGTACGTGTTCCCTGTTTGGAGGGGAAAGAGAGCAGGAACAGTTTTTCATTTCTTTCTGCCCATGCCTCTGGCAGGCATAACCATGGCCCATCTGTTCTCTTCTCAGATTCAGCCCACCCTTGATCTTTCTTTTTCTTCTAGACTTCACACTTCCCAGAAGGACAGAATTATTAGCAGGTACTCCTCCTCAGCTATCAACTTCTCAGACTGTCTGAAATGCTTCCTCCCTCGACATTGCAAACAGTTTCCAAAAGTACAAGTCCCCAGGGGTTGGCAACAAAATCGCTGATTTATACATACGTACAACAAACCCTTCTTACTGATACACCTGGTTTTAAAGTAGTAAATGAATAATAATAAATAAATATGTAAGTAATTCAATTGTTTCTGTATTCAAACCAGTCTAACATGTACCATGAGAGAAATTAATAGAGACTTTTGTGCCTCACGTCATGTTTCAAAATCACTTGCCATCAAGAAATACCAAGATTTCCAAGAAGAAATATTACCTGATGAATCTGATGAACCATTTCCTAAAATTTTTTTCCTCACCATCCTATTTTACCACTCTGGATTTAGATAAACTCCCAGAAAGCTGAAGTACAGACACTTTGTGAGAAGTGAGCAGGCCTAGATGCAGTTCCCAGGGTCTGTAGTGTGAGAGAGAGTCAATAGAAGTTCCCTATACTTGTGCACAGGTGCTAGTGTTCAGGTAGCTTGGGGGATCAAGAAAGAAGAACCACAGTCCCAAAAGGGCTGTATAAGCTCCACCTCCCAATAAAACGTGATTGCTGTGTTCATTAGTGATGTCTGTGGCAGCATTGCCATACTGAGTCCCTGTCCAGCCATTTGTGGTGTGAGAGAGGGTAACTCCAATAAGAAGGATGAATCACAGACTAGGATGAATCAGTAATTTTATTCTCATTAGTCTCATTTCTTACACCTGGAATTTGTTCAAAGCCAGCCATGTCCCCATGATTCAGGTCATCTCACCCTGAATCTTAGGAAACAGGAGTAGGTTATCAGGCCTTGTTCTTTCTGGAATTTGTTGGAATACCTGTATATTTCAATCTACCTCTTTTAAATCCAGAGATTAAAGTGAAATTCCATTTCTCTTTTTAATCCAGAAAGATATCACCTCTGCATATTGGATATTTCAAACAAGACAAAGTAATTTTGGCTTTCTATATTCAACAGAATGGCTATCTACATGCTTTGTGTTGTTGTCACCAAAAGTGTCTCACACAAAATTTTGAATGGAATCAAATTACTAAGGATGAATCAGTAATTTTATTCTCATTAGTCTCATTTCTTACACCTGGAATTTGTTCAAAGCCAGCCATGTCCCCATGATTCAGGTCATCTCACCCTGAATCTTAGGAAACAGGAGTAGGTTATCAGGCCTTGTTCTTTCTGGAATTTGTTGGAATACCTGTATATTTCAATCCACCTCTTTTAAAAAGGTTAAAAATCACCTAGGCATATCCTGGAAATGGATAATGCTGCATAGAGAAAGTCTCAAAAAGTCATTTTTTAAAAAGCTCAACTGGTTGCATTTCCTGTACCAGGAATGGAGTCAGGTAACTGTGAGGCAGAAGCAGAGGCTGGGACATATTCATATGAGATTGGGCTGGCTTTTGCTCACACAAACACACACAGAGAACTTTCCCAAATCTTCTAATCTTCCTAAAGGGTAACAGGCCAGAGTCTCTGGTGGATTCAAAGGAGGATGCTGTGGAGCTGTCACTCATGCAAAGGGACTAATTCATTCAGACCACAGGACATTTGTAGTAGGAGGTGAAGCCGATTTGCCTGGGTGTTGAGTTGTTAGAGGGTGAGTAGAAAAGGAAAGAGAGAATTTTTAAAATATGAAATTCAATGCCTTTCTTTTCAAATTTGAAATTCTTCTATTTCTTCATTTAGGTAACATACACTGAGTGATCAGCACTAAAGAAGATGCAGGCTAAGGCAAGGATGCTGGGGTTACCTTACAGGCAGATACGGGGCACAGTACGTACACACTCAACAGTAACAAATAGGGAAGTGATACATTCTTCAAGAAGGAAACAGACAAATTACGGAAGACCCTGAGGAGGAAACCTCATTTGTAAGTTTCAGGGAAGACTTGAGGAGGAAGTGATTCTGAGCAGAGGCTCGTGGCTTGGCTGACACCTTCAGCCACAGAGGTAACCAAAATGAGGGCTGGTGGAGGAAATCACCTAAGAAGAGGTTAAAAATCATAGGAAAACATTGGGTTGATTTGGGGGAAATGTTAAAAGTGCTATTAAGCTAGAGAATCTAAGGGAGAAATGGGGTATATAACTTGAAGAGAAAATTGGGACTGACCTTAACTATTAAAATATGGCCTAGAGTTGATGGAATATGTACTAAGGGGACATCAAAAATAGGTAAGGAAAGAGCCTACCAAACTCTTCCTTGGAAGGTAATATAAAAGTTGAGGGATGAAAGGGAGAAGATTTTAGAACTGAACTAACAAATGGAAGGCTTTCTCAATGGTACATGTGCATATTCATGCAATCAATAAATACTGAACCTTTGCAGGGCACGTGGAACAGGTGTTCAAGTTTTGTTCACTGATTAATTCATTCAAAAGTATTTCTAGAGAGTCAGTTTCCATTCTAGGTGCTGTGTATAGAGCTGTGAACCAGCAAACAAATACCTTGGCCCTCACAGAGCCTCTCCTTAGAGCAGGCACTGATTCTGCTTGGCCTTGGGGATCAGGCCTTCCTTTCCTCGTCAATGTTACTGTCTGAATCACAGAGATGTAAATGCTGGTTGTAGACTCTCCTGTGTCTCCTGGCACAAGCACATAAGTTCATGGATGATGCACTTATGAATCTTGTTAATGATAGAAACCCACTCATGACAAACAGGCTAAAAAATAAGCACACATGACCATGCAGACCAGCAAGTATAGACTTCTGTGATTTAGAGTAGGAACTAGGACACCAACCATCATGTGCATCCCCTTTTACTATAATTCATACTTCTAATAACAGTGTAACCATCATTGTTAGTGAAAATTCATTCTAGTAATCTCAATATTCCATTAATAATGAAATTAACTAACATTTATTGAGTGTATACTGATTCCTGCTATTTTATTTAATCCTAATAATTCTGACTGACTCAGGAAGGTTAAGTGACTTACCTAAGGTCATAAAACAGGCAATGGATTAAGCCTCGATCCTGATATAATTCTATATAACACCAGAGCCTGTCCTTTTGCATATTTGCAAGGCTGGTTGGTTTCTGTCACAGATCACACCATTCCATGGTGAATTTCTCTGACTTATCTGGTAATACTTACCACAGTGCCTGTCAACTGTCCTTAGTCCTGTACTCTGGCCTCCACAGCAGTTATATAGTTCATACCATAATTCGTATAGTGCACATCTCTTTATTTTTGCTTTTAATTTTATCTGGATCCATCTTCTTCCCACAAGTACATAATAGGATATAATAATAGCACATCTGCATAATTTGTTATAAATGATAAACATTTTTGTGCATGTAATGTCAGTGGTGTTTTGCAATTATCCTGGAGGTGATTCAGTTCAGGTCTGTCTTCACATTTTAGTCTGAGACATAAAGGCACACATACACGCACATACACACACACACACACACACACACACACACACACATATTAGTTACATGTGTAAAGTCTTCTTCCATGTATTTCCAGTTCTATCAGTTCTACGTTAGACATTAGGAATAACAAAGAGCCTTTTAAGAGATTTAAATCTATCCTGAAGATCTCATGATCTGTGAGGATTGGGGGACATCTGAGCAGACAACTCTGATTTGATAAGTGGTAGGGGTTCTTGGGGAGGTAAAAGTTGACACTTTATTATTATTATTATTATTTTAGATTCTGGGAATACATTTGCAGGTTTGTTACATGACTATGTTGAATAATGATGGGGTTTGGGCTTCTAGTGAACCTATCACCCAAAGAGTGAACATTGTACCCAATAGGTAATTTTTCAACCCTCAAATCCCCTTCAATCCTCCCCTCTTTTGAAGCCTCAGTGTCTATTATTTCCATCTTTGTCCATGTGTACCCGTTGCTTAGCTCCCACTTATAAATGAGAACATGCAGTAATTGATTTCTGTTTCTGAGTTATTTCACTTAGGACAATGGCCTCCAGCTGCATCCAAGTTGCTGCAAAGGACATGATTCTTGTATGGCTGCATAGTATTCCATGGTATATATGTACTAGATTTTCTTCATCCAATCAGCCGCTGATGGACACTTAGATTGATTCCATGACTTCACTATTGTGAACAGTGCTGTGATAAACATACAAGTGTGGGTGTCTTATTTATATAAAGGTTTCTTTTCCTTTGGGTAGATACCTGGTGGTGGGATTGCTGGGTCTAATAGGCCTTGCAGTGGACCGCTCACATAAAATGTTCCACTTAGAAACATTCTGAAGAATGTTGCCAGAATAAAAGAGGTTGTGATATTCGAGTTGAATCTCCAAGGAAAAATCAAAGACCCTTAGCTAATACTTAAAATTCCCAGCTTCCTTAGGAAAGAAAGTCTACATGTACAGAGATTCTAGTTTGGGGTTTTCTCTCTGCCACTTGATTGTGGTGGACTTCCCTTCAAAATATTTTAATCTTTAAAATGGTAGGACTTATTTTTATTGACAGTAATTCCAAAAGGTGAGAAAATGAAAGCATCACATGTGTTTAAAATGCACAGCAGCAGTTTTAATCTATTCTAAACATCCTTTTATGAAAACACAAAACACAAATGTTTAGGACATGGGGAAATATAGCTCAGACCACCTAAGGCTAAAGTAGGGGTCAGCAAACTCACAGTCCATAGATCAAATCTGACCCACAGCCTGCTTTTGTAAATAAAGTTCTATTGGAACACAGCCATGCTCATGCATTTACATATTGTCTATGGATGCTTTCATGCTACAGTTGTAACAGACCATATGGCCTGCAAAGCCAGAAATATTTGCTATCTAGACCCTGTCAGAAAAAGCATGCCAATTACTGGTCTAAAAAGTGGAAAAAGAGGTGGATATTAAACTTAACATTGTTAGTTAAGGGGCAGTGCTACTCAAAGTGTGGTCTGTGGAAAAGTGTCCCCATGCGATGCAATAAACACAGAAATTAAGAGTAAAAATTTAAAAACGTCTCTAGCAATGTGACAAAGTATTTTAATGTCTGTTGAATCTATAGTAATTAAGATATTTGGCTTGTATTTTGCATTTCATTGTACTATTTTTCATGTTTTAGTAATCCTTCCTTTGCCATTTGTTTTTTTTGCACCAATGCTTTAAGAAACGAAAATTTAAAAAAAAAATATTTTTCACAACAAATAGTTTGAGAAACACCACCCTAGAGCATAGGCAGCCAAAGCTATCCATCAAGTGGGCCAGAATTTACCAGTACAAAAAGCCCACGGTGTGGCATTTTTCCTGAAAAAAAAAAAAATGTAATCTGGAATACGTCAATACTTCTGTCTTTTAGTAGCTGAGAAAGCATTTATCTCAGCATTCAGTCATCTTAACCCTTCATCATAACATCAGTAAACCTCACAGTGACCATGTATGCTGCTTTCTTTAGGCAAGTTCCAAAGGGGAAATTAAAAAAATACACAACAACAAAAAGACAACTAAACTTAAAAAACACATGGAATCTACTCTAATTCATCTTGCACTTGCACCTGAGTTCTCTAGTTTGTGTGTGTGTGTGTGTGTGTGTGACTTAACCTTAGAGGGTATCAATGGAGAAATAAGAGTCTATGACTCATAGAATTTCCAGTCTTTGGCCTCTTTATTAATATGCATTGATTTCATGCTGGAACTTGATTTTAGACCAGTGGATATTAAACAGAAAAAGGTGCTACTCTTCTCTTTAAGTTTAAAAAACAATCTTAACAATTTGCAAGATAAGAAATGTTGCTTCTGTGAGCCTAAAAATTACTTAGCAGTCATTCAAAGTCCTTCCAAAAGCCCAGTAGTCATAAACTTTTGTTGCCTATTGCTATCAATGTTAGTGGTTTAATACATAGTGCAGAATGAATTAATAACATCCAGTTAGACAATAACCCCAAAAGTGACAGCAGAGTACAGGAGGGATTTGTCTTCCAGGACTCTTGCTCCCATTGCAATATGCACATCTTGCATCCTAATCTAGTATATGCAGTTGCCTGGATTCATTTCTGCACACCAAAGCCTTCTGTAGGGAGAAGGTCCTTGCTGGGCACTGCTAGTAAACAAATTAGAGAAACTTCATTATGTTGTATGAAAGGCCTAGCATTTTTCTCCTACTGATTGTAGCTCAGTTCATCTAAAGGTCAGCTGCAAAGGGCTCTCTGCAATCACGGCTGCTGTATATGGAGGAGCTTAGTCATATTTAACACGGCAGCCTTGCTGTGGATAGTTCCTAAGAACTGGAACTCAGCCAGCCCTAGGACTAGATTGCTCTGTGTCTGTGTGCGTTTACTGGGCATATGTTCCTCAACTCACATCACTTGCAGCAGAGGAGGAGAACAGAGCAGGGAGCGGGGTTCTGTAACTGCAAACACAGCTGCTTTTGAGGAAGCAATTTCTAATTAATTCACTATTAGGAGTAACTACTTCCCCCTACTCTCATGAAATAAACCCCTTTTAAGTTTTACATAATTGATATTTAAAAAATTGTTTATAAGTGCCAAGTTAAGGTAGCATTTGGCAAGTACTTCCAATTCAGATACTTTTAAGATGACATCAATTGTATTAAGAGCACCTCTAGGCTTGATTGAGGAGCCGTTTGAATTTCTTGGTTGAGTGTCCTTCAAGCCAAGATGAGCAGCTCATGCTTGCATCTTCGCAAAGTGCTCACCTAAAAGCTGATGTCTATCATCTCTCCTCATCCACTATTAAGAGCGCTTCCTAACCCTCTACAGAGATGATTCTAGGACCTGACTTGAACATTAAGATATCTGGGTAGCCTCAGGTAAATGTTTTAATCCTATTGGATCACTTTTTCCTTAGCGTAAAATAAAGAATTGTCATTACTGCGTCCTTAATTAGGTGCTAATATAGTTAATCATCCTAAGAGAAACAGTTTTGAGGGGGTAAGTGGACGCTGGGATAGCAGGGCTATATCAGGAGTATTTCAGGCAAACTGAAATATATGGCCTTCTTTCTAATGCCAAGTATTTAAGGAAACTACGATGTTTAGATATGGTTTTAAAGTCCTATTCAACACAGACTAACTTCACTCTCATTACCATCCTTATCTTCTTTTAGAACCCTTTAACTAGTTCTTTCCTAAAAGCATAGTGCCAGGCTAAAAATAATAACTAATTGCAACAGAGGAAAAAGTCAACTGTCTAAAAAATAATAATCAGAAGAATTGCAGGAAATGTATAAAGCTATGAATAGCCATCTTATTCAAGAGAGTTTCAGAGTACTTTTAAATAGAAAGTGTGTGTGTGTGTCTGTATGTGTATGTGTGTATGTGTGTGTATGAATATATATTGGCACATGCCTGAGAATTAAGGTCATTAGTACAATGCCAAAGTCCTAGGTAGATTAGAGAAGCTGTTGCATCAGTGCATTGATCTGGATGCTCTGTGCTTTGCTACCACAACAGTTTCCTGTTGCATAAGATTCTACGTTAGGAAATAAGTTGAATTTTGTGGTAACTTTCTGATTAAGTAGTGCATCCAGTCTAGACCTCAGCTCATTAGGTATAAAGAGCACTTTTCTAAACCTGAGTTCTAAGATTCTGAAATCCATAGTAGGGCTACTTCATGAAAGGTGTACTTCAAAGGTATACTCCAAATGGTCTGTTATTTTTTGTAAGTGTAAACATCTTACATAGCCACGGCACATTTGCCAAAACTATGAAGTAAACGTTGGTATATTACTACTGCTCACTAAATTACAGACTTTGTATTAATTATAATTTTTAAAATTCTCTTTTGTGTACTTTGGCTCTCCATTAAGCATTTGCTTTTAGAAATACCTTGATCTCTCCGAAAGTTATTTAAGCGTAGCTCAAATACAGGGAGAAGCAGATAGCAGTAACAAAAGAGTTAATTTCAATATCGGGAGAATCGCTTTTTCCTGCTGAGATTGCTGCCGTTGGGTAGTCACGTGTGTATGGGATGAGGGGTGGTATTTGTTTTCTCCCCTTTAACCAATTTCACAATTGAATGAGCCTCAAGCTTATCTCTTGCCTCAGCAACTCAGAGAGACGCCCACCACAGAGCTGTACCCAGCACTTACTGATAATCTAAGTACTGTATGTAATGGTTCCCTGTGTGTTCCCAGGGGACTCTCTACAGAGAGTCAGGAGGCAGTGACGCAGAGCCTCCATTTCCAGATACAGCCATGCTTGTCTTTAGTCAAATTGTGCTTTCTTTCCTTTTTTTTTCTTTCCCGAAATCCTGCCCATTTCATCTTCCAAATCACTGTCTTTATGCTTCCTTTACCAAAAGAGTAGAGCAGACTCTCATCTCTCAAGTGGCAAGGAACTAGACACCAGAACTTGTGGCTAGAATCCTATTTTGGCTGCATAACTATTGTTATGAGACTGTATTTACAGCTACTGAGAACAGTAGCACTTGGCTCCCTGGCAGGCAGTAGCAGTGGAAAGAACACTGAGTTTAAAGGCCCTGAAACTGGCGTTTGAATTCAGGCTTGAACACGTATCCACCGTGTGGCCTTGAGGAAATGGCCTACCTTCTCTGCACCCCAGCAGCATCTGGTGTTACGTGGCAATCGCAATGCTCACTTGTGGAGTTGTGAGGAGTCAGTCAAATGGTGTGTACTCTTGTTTGGCAGATAGTAGAAGCTTTCCATACACAACTTTTCTTCCTTAACCAGGCCCATAGCCAGGAAAAATAAAAAAAAGACGCTGAATTCACATTCGGTCAGGGAAGGGACTTTCTTGAATCTCTGTTTTTTTGGACACCATCTTCTATTGAAGAATCGTAGCTCACCTGACTCCTGTGGCTGTCGGTTGCAATTCTTAAACTTATTCTTGAGCCACAAATTGGCAGTTCTACCTGGGACACACCCATAGAAAATGATCAGTCTCCAGTAACTGAAAGTTATGGATTTGACCCCTACAGCCAAGGTGCAACTGTCCTCACTCCCATGCCCAGAGGTCTGTGGCTCCTGATCTCAAGTTTTAGCCCGGTTTCAAGACCTGTATGACCTGTGTCAACCCTATGTAGACAAACTTGACTTCCACTGCTCTTAATCACACACCTATCTCCCTCATCTGCTCGGTTTCTCCTGTGAGCATCTTCAAAATAATTGATAATTATTTCTTTGGCAAGTCTGTCTGTCTGCCTCACCAGGTCAATTATCGAATCCTTCCTGAGCTTTCCTCTAACTCCCCTCTCTCCTGACTGTGAATGCTCCCGAGTTCAGCACTCAGTGCTCCCTTTGTGCTCTCTTTATTTCTTCAGTCTGTGTGTAATCTTGATAACCTTGGTAATGTCTTTATATAAGCCTCAGTCTCAAGTACTAATTTAAGGAATATAAACAGTTATTTCCCTCGACCCTTTGAAGTTATTGTGCCCTTAGCTTCTAACAGATGATATTGATGGTGAGAAATCGCCTGTCATTCTGAGTGTCTTTTCCTTATAGAAATGACAATCTGGTTAGGGTCAATGACCTAGATGGATGGTACTCTTTTAGTCACCGTATACCAAAAAGATGCATGGTTTAGTTCTTATTTACACATGAAGAACAGGGTTTTTATTCTCTACCAAGCGTAACAAGCATTTGGCATCTGTTTCTTGGTTGGCATTAAAAATTGGACCAGATCATCTATATATGGTCCTGACTTCCCATAGATACTTTGGCTCCAGACTCTCTCTCTACTGCTCATAAATTTTCACTCATGATTTTGGATATAAATTATATCTATAGACACAGATACTTTAAAATTTTAAAATGCATTTTATCATGTCTATGTGTTATAGATGGATGATTATATTTTACATGTACTTACAATTCCGTTTGTAATTTTCATTTTTTTAATTTTAAAAAGCAACATCCCTGAACCATTATTATTTTAATGTTTATTATTTCCTACTTATAAATGTGCTGAATGCTATTTATAAAAATTAAAACATTACTGAATTAGATTTTCTTAAAATGTTTCCTAGAAAACAAAGGACTTTTAATGACATTAAAATGGGATGCTATGATGCCAGCAATGATCATCCAACCAAATAATGCAAAGACATTTAAAGAGCAATTGTATATTAACAATTTTCTTCTATTTTTTTTCTCCAGTTTCTTTAATCAATCTGGTCACGTTTTGAGTTTGTTCTGATGGTCACTGATGCCTCCTCATATTCCATTATTCAGGCCAATTTTATAGCAATATTGACTGACAAATCACATGTTTTGATATGTTATTAATATTTACAGAGCACCCAACCCAGGTTTATCACTAATGTCACCTTGAGTAGAAAAATGATGCTCAAACATTATTTAAATTTATGGCAACAAGCAAAAGCAATTATTATTATTTTTATTTTAGAAACTGATGCAAAGAGTTCATCTCAAATGGCTATCACATAGAATATTCATAACCCAGGATTGCAGTCAACTTTTCTTTGAAGAAATGGAATTCAGGAAAGCTAATATCTATAACCACAGATAAAACAGGGGCCCTAACAGAGAAAACTTTACTTATTCTCATCTTGCTCTTCTGGAAATAAATTTTTATTCCCAATATTCTTGAAAGACTAAAGGAGAAAAACCTTGCTTGCTAAGTTGCACCAAACCTCAGGACACAGTGAGAGGAAGCTGGCCCTCTGTAGGAAGACAAGCCCCAGGAAGAGAGAATCACTTCTCAGTGGGCTGGGGCAGATATGGTTCAGTTGCTGCTATTTCCTTCACGATGATACAGACAGAAAGAAGGAAACAAAGCACAGCCCCTCTTTCTTCTTTCTTTCAAATAGAGCAGCATGTATGTCCAGAGTTTTTCAACTGAACGTTATAACACCTGAGTTTACAAATGTATATGTAGTTTACGACATTTAGTGAGCTCAGAAACTCTGAACTCTTTTCTGGGGAGTGGCTGAGTATTAGAAAAGAATTGAGGTCAGTATCTGATTTAAGTCACTGTTCATCAAATTTTTAAGAAAAGCCTGATCCTGAAGAACACGTTTGATTAAACACATGACAGTGGAACATAAGTTGGAAAATAGGAAATGTTTTGAACAATCCGGGGAAAGTGGCCATTACAACTAGCAGCATGAGCTTTCCTCTTGATGTCCTGAAGCTATGTGCCCATTTAATCCCATGTGCATGCTTGACTCTAAAGATGTTGCCTCATCAACTGGAACATGAGTAGGCAACACTAAAAAGGCTGCTGATCAGTAGTAACATAATGCCAGCCTAGCTTGCAGAAAACTGTTCTAAAGCCTCTAATAACCCTCCTTGGAAACTCAAGCAACCAGTAATAACTACTCTGTCTCTCCCACCACTTTGGTACCATTTGTAGAAGTTCTGCTTTCACAAACCAACACTTAAAACTCCATGCTTTAGTAGGACACTGTCAATTCGATGTTTGAACGAAGCCTTCTGGCCCCTTATCCCATTCCCTAGACACACAACTACCTCGTTTGCAGAAGGGCTCAGCAGATTCTTTATACCACATTCCTAGGTAGGCATCATATGTAACATAAGAACATGGCTTTAAAACCCCTCTTTATTTCTGCCAACTAGTGAGTTCACTCTTTCATGTGAATGATTCTATTAATTTTTAAAGGATATTTTTGTTATATACTGTCCAGCATTTGTATGTGTTCATATTGGGACTCTTCCAGGTGGGGGTCAGGTTTGCAATATTTTCTGCCCTGCTATCAGATCTACTTTTACTCTGATAATTAATGGGCATTTATGTAAGTTAGTAACTATGTATTTTCTATTTCTTGCATTTCTAATTGGTTATTGCCTTTTGGTGTTTTTCTTATATTTATTATATTTAATATATATAATACATATTTATATTTATTATATATTTATTTAACCATTCATAATTCAATAGTATTCATAACTATTTTTAAAGTTTATTTCAGATCATTTGTAATTTATAAGCCTTGGTGTTTCTATTAATCACCTTGGGCTTCCATAACAAGATACCATAAACTGGGTGATTTAATCAAGATACATTTATTTTCTCACAGGCTGCAAGCTAGAATCACAGAGTTCAAGGTGCTAGCAGAATGGTCTCTGGTGAAGCCTTTCTTCCTGGCTTACAGACAGCTGCCTTCTTGCTGTGTCTTCACATAGCATTTCTACTGTGCCTATGGAGACAGAGGGAGAGGGAGAGAAAAAGGAGAGAGAATGGGAAAAAGAAGGGAGGGAGGAAAGAAAAGGGGGGTAGAGAGGGACAGAGAGAGGGAAGGAGGGAGAGAAAACCAATCCATGTTTCTTCCTCTTCTTATAAGGACACCAGTCCTATTGGAGTAGGGCCCACCCTTATGAAAAATGTTAATTTTGATTATCTCCTTAAAGGCCCTGTCTCCAAATACAGTCACATTGGGGGTTAGGCCTTCAGTATATGAATTTGGGGGAGAGACAATTAAGTCCATAACCACGTCCAAAACTTTTGCTTTGTTCAAGTTGCTGACTCTTCACTATGGTGATTTATTTCCTCCAGACAGAATATAAATTAAAAATTAAAAACCTGAAACAAACTTTAAAATGGGTATGATTATAATGTTCAAAGAGATAAAAGAGAAAGGATCAAAAGACAATAACTAAATAAAGTTTCTAGAATTGAAAGATATACTTAATTACTAAGTTAAATATATGCACGTTTGTCATTTTTGGCTGAGAGCTCATTTTTAGTATTGGCCCCCATCCAACACTCCTCGTGTACTCCGGACAGTGGAGGAATCACTGCAAGGCACAGTTGCACTTTGCTTCCCAAGGCTCCATAGGTTTCAGCCATTCTCTGTGGCTTTTTGTCTGGATAATTTCCTGTCCAAGTTTCCTACAAGACATAGGATTGTGTTTGGGGAACACAAGACCTAAAATTTGAATCTCAATAGAATATCTGATAAAAATTAAGAACAGATGCCTGAGTATATAATTTGTATTATCTATATAATATTGTTAAATGGTATATATTTCTCCAATCACTTTCTCAAACATTCTCAAGCAACAAAGTCTCCTTAAAATGTGTATATATATTTAAAACACACGTATCTGATTCTTGAGGAAATCCAGCTGAATTCCATAATTCTAATGAAGATGTTCCTTCCACACCCTTCAGTTTTGCTGCTGCAGTGAAAACAAACAAACAAAACCCTAGCAATTGTACGTGGAGGAAATTTGCAGCGTATTTATGATGATAATGTACTGTATGAAATGCATCTTTTGTGTGACTGGTTACTGAGCTGCTCTATTTAACTGATTATACACACATATTAAAGCTTTAAATAGCAGGAGGTCTGTTTATATTTGACCCAATGTTGACTTTGTGGTCTTCTCTCAGTGCAAGTGCCAGTAAGTCTCTCAGCCTAAGCTGTGTGGGGATGCAAACTAACACATCGAGGGTTGATAATGCGTGACAGATACCAGAATATATGCTTAAAACTCTTCGCTCATTTTATATTTATAGCAACACTTTGAGGTATACATTTTATTTTACAAATATTACAAATGAGGAAATTGGGTCTCAGAGCAATATTTGTGATCAAGTCATCCAGCTACCAATGAAATTAATATATGAACCTAAGCTTTTACTCCAAAATACATACTTTGTACAGAAGATGATTTTTGTTTCAGAATTGAATGCTCTGTTAGAATGTGCTTTTAATAATAATATGCATCTCCCAAAGTACATCTTCTTAATTTAATCACCTTTTTTGCAAGTAAAATCTTTTATCCAAATCTTTTAATTTTTGTTTTTCAATGGCTGCTTGCAAGACTTACTCATTTTGATAATAAAAAACAAAATCATGGAGGAGAAACTCCTTTGTTTTCAAAGTGAGAAAGAAATGTGTAGGTGAAATTTTGAGAGAAGCTGCATGTTTGAATTATTATCTTAGTTCAAGTGATACAAGAAAAGACCAATTGTATTCTGAATACAAAAGAAATTATTGCAAACTAGACTATATTTGATTTATTAAAACGTATCATCTGCCTTGAGCCCACTAGAAAAAGTGGAAAAAGCATAATCATCTATTAAATATAAAATCTGATTCAAAATGTATCATTTTTTCATAGCAAGAAGGTCTCTCTCAAAAAAGTTTTTCATAAGTCATGTTGGCATTATGTTTCTACTAATCAGCAGCATTTTTAGTGTTGCCTAAGCATGTCCTAGTTGATGGAGCAATATCTTTAGATCCAAGAATGCACACAGGGTTAAATATGCACATAGCTTCAGAACATCAAGGAGAAAGTTCAGGCTGTTAGTTGTGATGGCCACTTTCCCCAGATTGTTCAAAACAGTTCCCATTTCACAACTTATGCCCCATTGTCATATTATATGTGTAATACAACATGTTCCTCAGGATCAGGACTTCCTTAAAAATTAAATGAACCCAAGTGTATCCCCTTAAAGAATATTAATTAAAGAACTGAGTAGGTATTATTTAGAATGTCTATCCAAACTTTTGAGTTTCTTGGTCAACATGAAAACCACTCCCCAAGAAGTATCCATATCTCATTGAACTGATCCAAATCTCTTATTTATATACCTAAAGCAGGCAGCTAAGTATGGGTCACATAAGTAGGTACAAACAAATGGCTATCTTAAGAATATGATTTTCATTCTGAGGAATCATCTGCTTTTTCAGGAAATGTATAATATACATTGTAAAATACTAAGAACATAGAGCATGTAAAATTTTAATGTGCACACAGAAGTCTTTTAAACCTTTTCACTCACTAGGTGGTCCCCTATTAAAATAAAATAAATCTTCATCCAAAGAGAAAACACTTAAAATGTGCAGACTTTTCAGATTCTAGTTCCCCAAAGAATTCATTTTTCTTAATTTTGTCAGGTATAATAAAATTATCAGTTCCCAGGAAAAATAATTAAAGCACTTAGCATGATGTTTTACTTTCAGTATTTAAAAATCACTATTTCTTATGATCAGTAATTTGGGATTCTATTAGATTTTATGATATAAATATAGATTTATACTATAGATACTAATGACTCTGGACTCTCCAGACACCTGTTACTTAAGTCAGAAACCAAGATATCTTCCACGAGCTTCTTTAAAATTATGCAGAGAATGCAAAATTATCACAAAGCAGGGCATAGACAAAGGAAGTACACAAATCCCACCAAATGATATTTTGCATGTGTTTCAAATTCCTTCCAAGCCAGAGCCATGTTTATATAGAAACAGCCTTGGTTAATGTATTATTTCCATCAATTTATTTTAATATATTCATTTATTTAAATATGTATTGAGTGGTTCCTGTATATGAGGCACTACCCCTTGCACTAGGAATTTAAAAATAAAAACACACAGTAAAATGAAAAAAAGAGCCCCAGTCCCTGCCCTCAAAGAGCTGAGAAGCTAGTCGGGGAAAATGTAAAATGAAATAAGTATAGTTCAATGTACTAAAGCAATGTTGCTGTGTGGGATGGGTAGTGAGCACTGGGAAGGACTATGTATTCTGCTGAGGGTGTTCTGTGAAGATTTCACAATGAGTCAAAAATGAACCAGTGGGAAAAAGGAAAGCATTCAGTAGAGAAGGGGAAGTGCATATGGAGGCAGTTCCCAGGCCTTTGCTGGTGGAAGGATATTTAGATCTGTGTTTCTCAATTTGTTTTCCTTCAAGAACCAAAATCAGAAACCACTCAAGTACTTGTATAGATTGCCAGATTCCACCTAGAACTACTGAATCAGAATCCTTAAGGATGGGACCAAACCACATGCTTAACCTGTACCTAGGTCGAACTTGTGAGCAGTATCAGATGCACAGGAGGTCAGTGACATATCACTAAGAGCTAACAATAGTTTCTTACGAAGGTACCACCATCTCCTCCCTATAGGCTACCACTTATAATATCTTTTAAAATTGCATTGATTAAATTGTTTTCTACACACTAAAAAACAACAAAAAAAACTTAGTTAAAGCATTGTTTAAAATGGCAAATATTTATTATGCTTTCTTGAATAACGTGAGCTTCCTAAAACCTATGTCATTTTTCTGAACTGTGGAAATTGTTCCACTCACTGCCAGTGGGTGAAGAGAGACACAGAGTGTTAGCGCTGGTTGGGAGCAGTTAGGTTTCCAATGAGCAAAAATATCTGTGAGGTCACTGAATAGCATGCATCACAGTTACATAAATTAGTCCACACCAATATCTCTGTTATGATCATAGTCGTAATAACAAATCCCTACTGATATTTGCATACCACATTTAAGATAAAAATCTAAAATAACTTTTAAAGTAGAAACACCTGGCTATAATTTGCAATGGTGCACAATCAATTTCAGCTGTTAGCTATTACTCAATAATGTAAATCTGATTATATCTCCCTGATTTAAATAACAAATTTCCCCCAACTCTTTTCGAGTTTAGAAGCCTTCTAATCTTCCTTCATTTCAGTGATAAGCATGGACAGAGAAAATATTGTTCTATTATAGAAAAAGTAAAAAACAAAATAACAAAAAATACTATAAGTGGACCAGATGCTGTCTTTAAATGGCAGCTTAACTTTTCAATGAGGATTTGCATTCTTACAATTGCCATATTGTTCTTTTGCTTCCAGAGGTAAATCTTTTTAAAAAATAGCTTTCTTAGGCCATGTGTGGTGGCTCATGCCTGTCATCACAGCACTTTGGGAGGCCAAGGGGGGTAGATCACCTGAGGTCAGGAGTTTGAGACCAGCCTGGTCCAACATGGTGAAAATCCATCTCTACTAAAAATACAAAAATTACCCAGGCAAGGTGGTGGGTACCTGTAATCCCAGCTACTCAGGAGGCTGAGGCAGGAGAATTGCTTGAACCTGGGAGGTGGAGGTGGCAATGAGCTGAGATCATGCCACTGCACTCCAGCCTGGGCAACAGAGCAAGACTCTGTCTCAAAAAAAAAAAAATTGCTTTCTTGTGGCTGTTGTTTATTTCTTCTTCCCATCTAATTTATGTACATTCATAGGAAGTAAATCACAATTTGAGATATTATTGTTCTATCTTATTCTCATCTCCAACATTATCTGAGAAGTTAATAAGAGTGAAAAACTTATAAATTTGGCAAATTAGTTAAGAGTTTAAAACCTGCTTAAAAGCTTTTTCATTTGAAATTTCTTGAGATATGTACTTTGTCTGAAAGTTATAAAAATACTTACTAAAACAAAACTATGTTTAAATATGCATACAGTGTACTTTTAGCACTTTATCGATTCCATAAAAACAAATAGAGATAAAGACCAGCATACCTGCCATATAAATAAAAGTATATTTAGGGCAAGAAAGGTGGCTGTCAAATAAGTCCTCAGTTTTTTTACAGTAATACACACACCTTCTTTCTAAAATGACAAAAATTCAAAACCAAATAAAGAGTCCAAATAACAACCCTTCTTATTCAAGTCCAAAGAGGTGACAATAACATTCTATTATTTAACAAAAAATAAAGGTTGGAAAAATAATGTTGTTTCATTAATTTCAGAAATGGCAATTAGGTGCCAAAAAATCTTTGTCATATAACGGTGATATAAATATAAATACAGCATATTCTTTATGGTGTATTTATATTTTTTATGTTTATATTCTTTATGCAGCTCAAAATCTAGTGGGGCTTAAAGAACCAGAGGAAACAAATTATGAACTTGGAACTTCCTGGTACAATAAATAACTTTGAATATTTATCTTTCTCAGATATTGGATCTACCTAATTTGCCCCAATCCTTTTTTTACAACAATATAATTGTTGCCTATGATGTCCTTAGTTTGTTTCCTTATAATGCAGTCCCATGATTCCTATAAGGGGCTTCTCCAAGTTTGTGTTGACTCATAAAGATGAATTCTTGGTCCATTCAGCACTTCGTTCAGGTGAGAAGCGCTGTGATTTATAAAATGCTAATTCACGTTTGGGGATTCATGGATCATTTTTTACTACTTTCCAACATTCTCCAAATTAGCTTTTAACTATGCACATTTCCAGACTTACACCAGATGTAGAACCAAAATAACCTCAACAGCTCATAAACACTTCCATTTACTCTTATCAGAGCATAATGTTATATAATTTTGAAATTCACTTTCTTCTTTGAGGAATGGGAGTGAATTAAAAGAAAAAAATACACACAAATGTAAAAGGCTTAAATAACAGCCAGATGTCAGGAAAATTGCAGCCATAGTAATCAGATTCTAAGGTATATTAGCAAAATTTTCTGGAGGCAAAATTTGAAGAAATAAGAAAAATTTCGGAAGACACACCTTAACCTCTGTAAATACTAGTTAGCCTCTTGACTGAAGAGTAACGACTGGTTACCCTAGCTTGTAAACACTGGCATACCAGTACCAGTTAGTTTCCAGAGAGCCGAATGAGAATTCAGAGGTTCACAGCAGGTGCGAAAATATTGACAAATAAAACTTCATTTGCTTATTTATTTTTTTGTTGATTTATTTGTTGAGCAACATGATTTGTCATTTAAACTTTTCTGTTAGCATTTTAATTATGCACCTTAGTTCATCCAAACTTTAACCTTATCGGCAAACTAGTCCAACCTTCTAGAAAATAGAGGAGAGAACTTCACAGCACCCCTGCCATGTTATTATGTATTGACTAAGTAAACAGTTTCAGGGAAGAGAAGTCACAGTTTTGTGAAACAATTCACGTTAATGTGAGATTGATAACTACCATAGATCTTTTTTTCAGTCCTTAGAAATCATTACCATTTATTCATTCAACAAATATTTATTGTGTGTCTACAATGTGCTAGGAAATAGAAAACAAATAGGGAAGCATATGAATAATTTCAGACTTGTGGAAAGTGCTACAAGTAACATGAGAAAGTAAGGTGATAGAAAAAGTCACACGTTGGAGTGAACTAAGATAAGGTGATGGTGGGTTCAAGTGAGACCTGAAGAATGAGAAGGAGTAGCCCTATAAGAACCTAGAAGCACAGTTTAGTGCACCACAATCCAGACAAAACAGCTAGAAAATGCAAAGCTTCTGAAGTGAGAGAGGACATGGCAAAAGGACATTCATAAGATGAGATTGGAGAGAAAAGAGAGCAAGTTACGCCAGGTCAAGCGGGCGACCAAAGAAGAGAGTTTAAGATTTCTTCTAAGATGAGTGGAAAGCCACTTACGGATTTTAAGCTGGGAAAATGACATGATTTTACTTACGTTGGAAAAAACATCAGTCTGATTGTTATGAAAAATCTGGATGATGGTGGAGTAAATGTGAAAGACCCATTAGGAAGCCGTAGGAATAGTCTCAGTGAGATATGATTGTTTTTGAGAATATGGTCATGGAAGTCATTATCAAAGAGAAAGCATGGGTTCAAGGCGTATTCTGTAGGGATGAACGGTAATGAGTTGTCAATAAATGTTAGATTTTGTGATTGAGATAAAGAGAATAATTAAGGATACATTTAAGGTTTCTGATTTGAACAAGTGAGTAATAATTGTGCTCTTAAAGAGATGAAGAAGAATAAGGTAGAAAGAGTTTTTGGAAATATTAAAATAAGTTTCGTCCATGTTTAATTTGAAACAGCTTTGAGGCACCCAAATGCACCAATAGTCAACTAGTTTGAAGTATATGATTTTAGCCTAGTGGAGAAGCCTCAGCTGGACAAATTTTGCAGTTTTTATCACACAGATGCTGGGCAAAGCTACGGTGAGGAATGGACCACCTTAGGGCTAAAAGTAGAAACAAGAGGGTCTTCTATTGTACTGTGGAGCCATCTCTGATTCATGCAAATAAGACGAGGAGAAATTAGTCAAGGAGAGAAATGAAAAGAGCCAATTGAAAGTGAGGAGGAAGGTATGGTGTCAAATAGGCCAAGAGAGATATATCATCCATAAAGGAGAAACAGCAGAGATTGGGTAAGGCAAGGACAAAAACGTGTCCACAGACAAGAGCACTTTCAGTGGAGCAATGAGAACTGAAACTGCACTGGAGGCAAGACTAGTAAGTGAGGAGCTGGAAACTCTGTGTAGAGGAAACTTTTGAAAGGTGTGGCTCTAAAGGGGAGCAGAGAGATGAGCATGCAGGCTGGGCATGGTGGCTCACGCCTGTAATCCCAACACTTAGGGAGGCTGAGGTGGACAGATCACCTCAGGTCAGGAGTTGGAGACCAGCCTGGCCAACAGGATGAAACCCTGTCTCTACTGAAAATACAAAAATTAGCTGGGCGTGGTGGTAGGCGCCTGTGATCCCAGCTACTCGGGAGGCTGAGACAGGAGAATTGCTTGAAGCCAGGAGGTGGAGGTTGCAGTGATGTGAGTCGAGATCGCTCCACTGCACTCCAGCCTGGGTGGTAGAGCGAGACTCCATCTCCAAAAAAAAAAAAAAAAAAAAAAAGAATGCAGCCAGAGAGACATGAGGGGAAAAGGGACATTGTTTTGTTCATTTCTATTAATAAGAGGCACTAAAGGATGTTTGTTTATAGAAATAAGAAAATAATAGAGAGTGCTGGAACAGGAGAAAAGAATGACTGAAAGAATAAATTCTTTCACAAGGCAAGAGGGATTGAGATCCACGGTATAAGAGGAGAGACTGGCCTACCCGAGGGATCTTTAGGAAGGCCTTTTTTTTTTTTTCCACAGGAACTGAAGCCCTTTTTTTCTAAATTGGGCCTAAAAAGTGAGTCATCTAATATTTGCAGGTTACCAATTCATCTGGAGTAAAATGTTCTTCGGTGTGCAAAAGGGAAATGCATTTACTTTTTGCTTCCCAATATCCCTAAGGGAGAAGTTTATTCTAGCTCACCAAGACCTACATTCAAGATTTCCCTATATGCAAGACAAGTAAGAAGCATGTTTAGAAAAATAATAAACAATCCTGAGGGACTAAGCAGAGAAGAATCACCAGGTTTTTGAAATGAGACAAATGAAAGTTAGTTAGGTTTTTATTTAACAACTGTATAGTAATTCTAACTTGGTGACATTCAATAGTATAAGTAAAATCCTAGAGGACAACGTGGTATCACTGCCTATTACAATAATGTAAGTTGCAATTGAGAGAAAACCTAACCCGAATAGTTCTAACAATGAATACTTCTAGGATCTGAATATTCTAGGGGCATTTAGGCATTCCTTGGCTCAGGCTCCAAAGTAAGTAATCAAACCCTGCTCCTTCTCTCCCTTCATAAGCCCAGTTTGCTTTTTGAGTGTTGCTTCAGTTCTCATGCAGGCTTTCCTCTCTTGCATAAGATGACTGCATACAAATTTTTTAATGCTCATCAAAAACACTATAAATAATGGAAAAAGAGAAGCAGTAAACTGGAAGAAGACATTTGAAACATACAACAAACAGTGATATCTAACATGCATGCCTATAAAACTCCAATAAATCAATAAGAGAAAAATAAACAATCTAATACAAAAAATGGCAAAATGCATTACTATCCCTAGGAAAATAAACATAAATGGTCCCAAAACATTGCAGATATTCAACATCATTTAAAAATAAGAAAATTCCTTTGGGAGGCCAAGGCAGGTGGATCACTTGAGGTCAGGAGTTCAAGACCAGCCTGGCCAACATGGTGAATCCCCGTCTCTACCAAAAATATAAAAAATTAGCTGGGTGTGGTGGCAGGTGCCTGTAATCCCAGCTACTCAGGGGGCTGAGGTAGGAGAATCACTTGAACCTGGGAGGCAGAGGTTGCAGTGAACCGAGATTGTGCTACTGCACTCCAGCCTGGGCAACAAAGTGAGACTCCATCTGAAAAAAAAAAAAAAAAAGAAAATCCAAAATAAAATTATAATGACTCTATTCTATATGCACTGGGGTGGCCAAATTTTAAAAAAGTGGGGGCAAGGACATGAGGTAATGGGACAATGGAATTTCATATTTGCTAGTGGGAGTGTAAATTGTCACAGTCACGTTGGAAAGCATTCAGTATTACCTAGGAAGGCTGAAAATGCACATATCTACACCCTGCCCTTTGATGTTCAATGTACGTATTCTACAGGAATTTGCCACTAGGAGTCATGTACAAAAATGTTCATAACAGCAATGATGAAAAAGTTCATCCACAGTTGGCAAGATGAGTCGATAAATAAACTGTGCTATATAATCCATTCATACAATACAGCACTAAAGCAGTGAAAATAACTGAACCTACCAAATCTAGTCACAACTTGGATCTCAAGAATAAAATGTTAACTAAAAACAGTTGGTCAAAAGAATACATAATGTATGATTCTGTTTATGTAAAGTTCAAAGTGGGCAAAATTTCACCAAATATTATTAGGGGATATATACATATTAAATTTGTACAGAAAAATAAAGAACAATACAACATTTAAGGGAGCGGCTATCCCTGTTATGGTGTGGATAAAGAGGATAAGATAGGTTAGGAGGGCTTCTAAGTCACTGGAAATCAGTTCTTTATTAAACCCAATGTAGGATACGTGTTATATAAACATCGTTTTACTTTACTGAGTACATTGTATACTTTTTAGCATTTTTAATATATTTCACAATAAAAATTTTAACCAAATAATTAAACACCTAAGTTGTTAATTATATTTATATAGCCAGTAATCAGCTGGTGAATCTGGTATGCTGATACATAGCTGTTAGGATTGTAAATTGGCACATACCCTTTTGCAAAGTACTTAGCAATACATATCCAGAGCTATAAAAATATTCTTTCCTTCTGACCCCATAATATTACTACTTGCATTTTATTATAAAGAAAAAATAAAGAAGATTAAGTTATTGCCTCTCTTTCCAAATTCATTTTCCACCACTCTAATTTAAACACTTTAAGCTATTTAACACCAAACAACCTGCTCCTTCTGATTTGATCTCCATGCCTTTTCATAAGCTTTGAGGCTCTGCAAAAGCCTTACTTCATTTCTTCAGAATAGGCTCCTTCCCTACTTTGCCTTCCTACTAAATCCTTCTGCATCCTTCAGACTCAATGCAGGCATTATTTCTCTGTCTCAACTGTCCTTGATCCACATATAATGGTTGTGTCCCTTTGTTGTATTTCCACATCTGTATAGTCATCAATTATGGCACTATTATAGTCATACAATTTATTATGAGATTGTCAGCTTCATGCAACCAGGTAAAGGCTTATTCACATCTGGATCTCTCACCCACAGCAAGTATTGTAAATCATTGTTTAATGTATATTTCTTAAGTGAAAGCCCAACAGACTCCATGTTAACAACAACATTCCTTATCTTAACAAAAATTCCAAAATAGTAATGTCCACTAATGGGGGAATAATCTGTTAATTACAGTGTATCTAATGAAGCATTATATCCTCATTAAAATACTATTTTGAAGCCAAATATACTGAAATATTGAAGCATCTTAGGATAATGGTAATTAATCTAATTCACAAGAAAGAAGAAAATTTCCGAATATCTACCTTAGAACTATGCAAAAATATACAACATGAACAGGAACTGTCAGGCAAAATGCAATAGCCCACATACCCTGGGGTTATGAAAATGGTTGAATGTGAATCCTTTGTTGAAATTTTTCTTTGGAATGGATTATTTGGTTTATTTAAACTGTATTTTAAAATGCAATATTTTCAGATAAAATCAACTGAGATTGATTCCCATAGTGTGACAGCTTTATTCAGGGCAATCTCTGTTCCCCTTCTTAAAGCACTGCTTACTATTACTGGAAGTGAAACAAGTGGCTTCAGATGGACACTGAGAAGCAACCTCTAATCCCAACCAAGTGATTATGACCTTTTTAAAAATAATGAATTTTCAAGAATAATCCTTCGTCCCAACTAGTAAAGAAAAAAAAAAACCTCTCAAAATACAAAACTATAAGCTGTTGTAAGAATCTCATAAAATTCAAAAATGTCCTATGAATCACCCAACTTAAGTAGCTATGATTGCACTAATTACCAACTGTCTCATTTGTTTTTAGTCATAGGCCACAGATAGGACTGCTTTCCATCTGGGATTGTAAAATTACAAAGTGGGCACTGTTTATCAACCTTGCCATGTTACACATCTGAATCTGCTCTGGAATATTATAAATACAAACTGCTGGACCCCAGCCCAAGGGAGTTGGGAATGGTGCTCAAGGCTTCCCTAGTTTTAAGAACTCATCAGAAGATTTGCGTGCATAGCCCAAGAGGAAAAACACTTGCTTAGAGCATAAAAGTCATTTTTAAGGTCAACATAAAGCTTAGTGAATTAGGAGACACACATTTTTACATAATGTCATTATATGTACACTATCTTTGGCATAACTATGGGCAAACAAAGGCTCTGAAAATCAGGTTATCTCCTCCATTTGACTACATGTTTGTGGCACTTGAGTTCAACATGTCTGAAATCAATTGCTCTCTCATCTTTCACCTCCACTACTAAGTTGGTTCCTCTCACCCAGTATACTACACTTCTGGCACACTGTAATACTCATTTGGACTCCTAAAATCTACTCTCCCATTTAAATCTATCCTGAATTCCATTACCAAATTTATCTACTCAGGGCAAAACCATGTTGATCAGCCTTCAGTAGGTCCTCATTGATCACTGGCCAAATCCCCAGATCCTCCATCTGTCACTTAAGGACCTTGAATATGTGATACGAGATAATCTCTACCAGTTTCTTTTTAAATTTTCCTTCATACATTCAATATTTCAGCCAAGCCTCTTGGTGCTCTGTGTACTTATCCCTATTTTTCCCCACATATGTGCTTTTTAAAAAACTTCTTAACAGAGTGTATTATCCAACTTGTACATATTCAAATCCCACCCACCCTCCAATTTCAACTCAAATTTTGTTTATTTTCCCGAGCTTTCCCTGACCCCTCTCCCATTTAAAAGTCTCTACTTAATCAATCCAATTATTATAATCATTTGTACTTTTATGCCCCATAACTTTTTATTATGTTATTATCTTATTAGTTATAGAATATATAAACCCTTTAAAGATAGAATTTCTCTTTCACTGGTTGTCTTATTTCCTTCAGCATCTTGCCATTATTTATTCCCCAGAAATCTTTATTGAATTAATATATGAGTTAACATACCTTTGACGGGAAATTCAAAATATAAAACCATACAAAATTACCTATACTACTTATCCCCTCAACCAACGCCAACAAAATATGTCCTGTGTCTTCTGCCTGCTCCTGCAAATTTCTGAAGTATTCATAAAGCTTGCACAAAGTCCTCTAAAAGTTACATCTGATTGTAACAAAACAAGAAGAAATGGTTTACCTTAGAATGCATATGATCAGAATATCAGGGTAAATGTGTTAGGGATTGAGATAAACAAGTAAACATGTATTTTATAATATATATAATTTTCATTCATTATATTGAATTTATTCATTCATTCATTTTATTCATTCATTTAATTTATTACTTAATACAAGATGCTAATGTATACATTTTTTACATTTTTCCATTTCCACAGGAGCATAGACGTGGTGATTTTGATTTAACTGGGATTTCAGTAGTCCTTACTTGTACCCTACTTGGTCTTGAGTAAGTGCTGCTGGAGTATCTTCTCCAATGTCCTATTTTGTCTCACCCTGAGCTGACCTACCCAGCCTGGGCTGTCATGTTGGCTTCTTCCCAGATTCCATTTCTTCCATTTTGGTCTCTGCACTCATTTACCAAACAGCATCTATTCCACCAGAGTCAATCCAATTCCATGCATACTGGTCAGTTCATAAATCACTGATTTTTTTTTTATTATTATACTTTAAGTTTTAGGGTACATGTGCACCACGTGCAGGTTAGTTACATATGTATACACTGATTTTGATTTGAGAAGGTGGATGGATGTATACACTCTTCTGTGCTCTCCAGGAGAGAGACCACTTGTTATCCCCTCTAATTCTGACACTGAGTGACTCCATCATTAAATGAGATTCAACAGGGGAAACCACATCCCATTCTTCTTTTGAAACCAAGACCCTCCAAAATGTCTGTTTCTCATTCTCATTCTTTTTTTCCAATTCTCTAAAGATCTCAAAAAACCTGAGAAGCCCTGCACCAAGTTTTCCTCACTAGGAAAGAACCAATTTTAAACCACTTAATTACCAATCAATCTTAAGCAAGCCAGGCAAAAGCAACATCTGACCCAGTTTGTTTAGAAACTCATTCATTCAGCCTTGTGGCTTCTCTTCCATGCAGGAGACCTGTCAGATTGAAATCAAGAAAAAGGCTTATCGAATTTTAATGTTGAACTAATGTTGCTTCTGCAGTCACCTGCATCACAGGGGTGATAGGGAGTCTGGGAAAGAAGTGAAAAACGGTCTTTCTCTCTCACACTTAATTTTTCTTTTGCAGAGTTCAAACGTTCAGTCTGTCCTTTCTATGAACCTACTATTTACGGCAACCTTTTTTAACCTATATATAATGCATGAAGAAATCTAAGCAGAATAATATTGTATGTAGTCACTCATATGACTGACTGCATTGAGCCTTGAAAGCTTTTGAATGTCCGGATCACGATATTGCCAGGTCCCCAGCTAATTTCACCTGCTAAGGCAACTCTTATCAACCCTCAGAACAATTATGCATACATTTATAGCATCAGACTTCAAGTGTAGAATCTGTCTCGATGTAGGGAACTTGTATGTCTTCCTCACTCCTCTGCATTATTTTTCATAATATAATGCCTTCAACAGGGTTTCATTAATGCTTTTCACAGAATGACAGACACTATAAATTTGTACAGTGATTTAAAGAACACCTATGACATCTGAACAGGAGGAAATACCCTAAATGAATACTGATTTTCTCATCTCCTTTTCCCAATTATTATAATAGCTAGTTCTTCTTCTGTACCCCATATCTCACAGTCTACTTAAGGCAAAGAAAAGTAAGACAAGGAGTAAGTAAGGACGGTAGATGCTAGTTCTAAATTAGTAACTGTTCCAGTTCTGCCTCAGTGCTCAAGGCACCTGAAACTTCATTTCTCACAACATACTCATAAAAATGACTGGGATCAGTGAAAGTGACTCACAGTAGCCTGTTATACATTTTGGCTATTTAATTTCATTATTATGTTTCCAAAGTGTCCCACACTAGATTTGGAATAGCGAAACTATCCTATCCCTTTCCTATCCATTGCATCTTGGAGTTGCTACTTGTTTTTTAAGAAAGATCCATTGCCCAAGTTTGGGTTCATCTGAAATAAAATCTGAAACAGGCACTTGGGCACAGCAGTTTATTTGAAAGTGGGAATGATAGAGCAGGAAGAACAAGAGAGAAAAGGAGAAAACTATAATAAAGTGTCCAGGTTACCACTGCAGACAACTGGGGCTTTATCCCACAGAAAAACCTCTGAATGGCCATGCAGAAAATATGTGAAAAATTGTTTCCTGAAATATTAGGAGTCTCAGCTCTCTATCAACCAACTTCTATCCCACATTGTTTAAGGTTGTCATCCTCCAAGACCACTGATTTCCTCCCACTTTCAGTTTGCCTGGAATATATGATTTTGGACTAACAAAATTCCTAAGCTTTTGGAAAATAAATTCATGAGGCAAGAAAACAAAAATATTATATGGGCTAAAAGGGAGGTGCTAGCATGAACCTGATATTAGGGGTATATGAAGAGATGTGGTGAGGATCATGAACTATGTGCTGTATCCATTTACCTTTTAGGGCTTTTCACCCTCAACACTATTGACATTTGGGCTATATAATTTCTTGTTGTTGGAAGCTTCTCTGTGCATCATAGGAAGTTAAGCAGTATGCCCGGCTTATTCCCACTAGATTCTGGTAACACACCCCTACTTGTAACAAACATGTCACCAGACTTTGCCAACTGTCCCCTGGAGGTCAAAATTGCCCCTGATTGATACCACCAACCTGAGACAATTTTCTAAAAGTGATTTGAGATATCGTTCTGATTGTCTACAATGCTAGAGAAAACAAGGAGAACTCAGATAACAGATAATCCTCCAGAAACCTGTCTCCAACACAAAAAATGATGAGATCAACTCATTTATTTCATCTTTCATACATTCAAAGACATTTGATTACCATCTGCTATCTCCAGGCATAATCACTGAAGACCCTAAGGATGTAAATGTGAGTAACAAGCAAATTTTTCCCTGCCTTTAGGAAGCCTGATTCCCAAGATCAATTAGAATCCTACAACCCTTTATGCCAATTTTATAACAAATGAAATGACACTTTTTAAAAAAGGTAAAGTGGCAAATTTGTCCTCCTGGGCAGACCTCAAGATAATGAGTTTTGTTCTAGAGATATTGATCACAACATAACCATTCTAGGCTGGCATCTCAATGATGTTTGATAGAATAAGAGATCAGAAAAAACTCTTAAGAGGGTTCTTTCTAGAAGGCATTTTACAATGGATTCTGCAGAAAAATAAATTCCAATAGTAAAAAAAAAAAAATGCCAGGAAATGATGTATATGATATTACTTTTGAAGAAACTCATATATACCATTATATTTATATACAAAAAGAGGACATATACATATATGCATATACATTAGGAGGACACTAAACTCTTAGTATTAGCATAATAAAGACTTTGCTAAGTCTGTTTTTCAAACAGCCTTGCAGACTCTGCAGACATTCAGAGGTTAATAAGGAAATACTATGAGCAGCTCTATACAAATAAATTCAACTAAGATTAAATGAACCAATTATTCAAAAAACACCAAGTACCACAACTTGCTCAACATGAAATAGATAAGTTGAATATTCTTATAAATATTAGGGAACTACAATTTTCAATTCAAATAGAATTCCAAAAAAGAATCTCCACACTCAGATGGTTTCACAGGAAAATTCTATCAAATGTTTAAAGAAGTACAACCAATTTGATGCAATCTCTTCCACAAAAATGAAAGAGAAGGGAGCACTTCCCAATGCATTTTATGAAGCTATTATTACCCTCATTCTAAAACCAGAAACATATGGTGCAATGAAAGAAAACTACATGACCAAGATATATCATGAATATAGATGCAAAAATCCTTAACAAAATATTGGCAAGTAGAATATTCAAGAATACATGAAAAATAAAAATGACCCTTGACCATTTGGGATTTATTATAGATATGCAACACTCTTTCAGTATTCAAAAATCAATCAATGTATTTCACTATAAAAACAAAGAAAAATGATCACATTTTTATCAATAAACACAGAAAAAACATTTCACAAAATTCAACACTCATTAATGGAAAACGTCTCCTAAAAATAGGAGTATACAGTCACTTTCTCAATTTGATAAGACATATACAAAAAACCCTGAGCTACTGTTATACTTAATGAACAGTTTCCCCCTAAGATTAGGAACAAGGCAAGTGGATGTCTGCCATCACCTCCACAATTCAGCATAGTATTAGAAGTTCTAGCCAGTGCAATAAGGCAAGAAAAGAAAAGACAGGGGGTGGAGCCAAGATGGCCGAATAGGAACAGCTCCGGTCTACAGCTCCCAGCGTGAGCGACACAGAAGACTGGTGATTTCTGCATTTCCATCTGAGGTACCAGGTTCATCTCACTAGGGAGTGCCAGAGAGTGGGCGCAGGACAGTGGGTGCAGCGCACCGTGCACGAGCCGAAGCAGGGCGAGGCACTACCTCACTCAGGAAGCACAAGGGATCAGGGAGTTCCCTTTCCTAGTCAAAGAAATGGGTGACAGACGGAACCTGGAAAATCGGGTCACTCCCACCTTAATACTGTGCTTTTCCGATGGGCTTAAAAAATGGCGCACCAGGAGATTATATCCCACACCTGGCTCGGAGGGTCCTACGCCCACGGAGTCTCGCTGATTGCTAGCACAGCAGTCTGAGATCAAACTGCAAGGTGGCAGCGAGGGGAGGGGCGCCTGCCATTGCCCAGGCTTGCTTAGGAAAACAAAGCAGCTGGGAAGCTCAAACTGGGTGGAGCCCACCACAGCTCATGGAGGTGGGCCTGCCTCTGTAGGCTCCACCTCTGGGGGCAGGGCACAGACAAACAAAAAGACAGCAGTAGCCTCTGCAGACTTAAATGTCCCTGTCTGACAGCTTTGAAGAGAGCAGTGGTTCTCCCAGCACGCAGCCAGAGATCTGAGAACGGGCAGACTGCCTCCTCAAGTGGGTGAGCAAACACATTCAAAAGCTAGCAGAAGGCAAGAAATAACTAAAATCAGAGCAGAACTGAAGGCAATAGAGACACAAAAAACCCTTCAAAAAGTTAATGAATCCAGGAGCTGGTTTTTTGAAAGGATCAACAAAATTGATAGACCGCTAGCAAGACTAATAAAGAAGAAAAGAGAGAAGAATAAAATAGACACAATAAAAAATGATAAAGGGGATATCACCACCGATCCCACAGAAATACAAACTACCATCAGAGAATACTACAAACACCTCTATGCAAATAAACTAGAAAATCTAGAAGAAATGGATAAATTCCTCGACACATACACCCTCCCAAGACTAAACCAGGAAGAAGTTGAATCTCTGAATAGACCAATAACAGGCTCTGAAATTGTGGCAATAATCAATAGCTTACCAACTAAAAAGAGTCCAGGACCAGAGGGATTCACAGCCAAATTCTACCAGAGGTACAAGGAGGAACTGGTACCATTCCTTCTGACACTATTCCAATCAATAGAAAAAGATGGAATCCTCCCTAACTCATTTTATGAGGCCAGCATCATCCTGATACCAAAGCCGGGCAGAGACACAACCAAAAAAGAGAATTTTAGACCAATATCCTTGATGAACATTGATGCAAAAATCCTCAATAAAATACTGGCAAACCAAATCCAGCAGCACATAAAAAAGCTTATCCACCATGATCAAGTGGGCTTCATCCCTGGGATGCAAGGCTGGTTCAATATACGCAAATCAATAAATGTAATCCAGCATATAAACAGAACCAAAGACAAAAACCACATGATTATCTCAATAGATGTAGAAAAGGCCTTTGACAAAATTCAACAACCCTTCATGCTAAAAACTCTCAATAAATTAGGTATTGATGGGACGTATTTCAAAATAATAAGAGCTATCTATGACAAACCCCCAGCCAATATCATACTGAATGGGCAAAAACTGGAAGCATTCCCTTTGAAAACTGGCACAAGACAGGGATGCCCTCTCTCACCACTCCTATTCAACATAGTGTTGGAAGTTCTGGCCAGGGCAATTAGGCAGGAAAAGGAAATAAAGGGTATCCAATTAGGAAAACAGGAAGTCAAATTGTCCCTGTTTGCAGATGACATGATTGTATATCTAGAAAACCCCATCGTCTCAGCCCAAAATCTCCTTAAGCTGATAAGCAACTTCAGCAAAGTCTCAGGATTCAAAATCAATGTACAAAAATCACAAGCATTCTTATACACCAATAACAGACAAACAGAGAGCCAAATCATGAGTCAACTCCCATTCACAATTGCTTCAAAGAGAATTAAATACCTAGGAATCCAACTTACAAGGGACGTGAAGGACCTCTTCAAGGAGAACTACAAACTGCTGCTCAATGAAATAAAAGAGGATACAAAGAAATGGAAGAACATTCCATGCTCATGGGTAGGAAGAATCAATATCGTGAAAATGGCCATACTGTCCAAGGTAAGTTATAGATTCAATGCCATCCCCATCAAGCTACCTATGACTTTCTTCACAGAATTGGAAAAAACTACTTTAAAGTTCATATGGAACCAAAAAAGAGCCTGCATTGCCAAGTCAATCCTAAGGGAAAAGAACAAAGCTGGAGGCATCATGCTACCTGACTTCAAACTATACTACAAGGCTACAGTAACCAAAACAGCATGGTACTGGTACCAAAACAGAGATATAGATCAATGGAACAGAACACAGCCCTCAGAAATAATGCCACATATCTACAACTATCTGATCTTTGACAAACCTGAGAAAAACAAGCAATGGGGAAGGGATTCCCTATTTAATAAATGGTCCTGGGAAAACTGGCTAGCCATATGTAGAAAGCTGAAACTGGATCCCTTCCTTACACCTTACACAAAAATTAATTCAAGATGGATTAAAGACTTAAACATTAGACCTGAAACCATAAAAACCCTAGAAGAAAACCTAGGCATTACCATTCAGGACATAGACATGGGCAAAGACTTCATGTCTAAAACACCAAAAGCAATGGCAACAAAAGCCAAAATTGACAAATGGGATCTAATTAAACTAAAGAGCTTCTGCACAGCAAAAGAAACTACCATCAGAGTGAACAGGCAACCTACAAAATGGGAGAAAATTTTCGCAACCTACTCATCTGACAAAGGGCTAATATCCAGAATCTACAATGAACTCAAACAAATTTACAAGAAAAAAACAAACAACCCCGTCAAAAAGTGGGTGAAGGACGTGAACAGACACTTCTCAAAAGAAGACATTTATGCAGCCAAAAAACACATGAAAAAATGCTCACCATCACTGGCCATCAGAGAAATGCAAATCAAAACCACAATGAGATACCATCTCACACCAGTTAGAATGGCAATCATTAAAAAGTCAGGAAACAACAGGTGCTGGAGAGGATGTGGAGAAATAGGAACACTTTTACACTGTTGGTGGGACTGTAAACTAGTTCAACCATTGTGGAAGTTAGTGTGGCGATTCCTCAGTGAACTAGAACTAGATATACTATTTGACCCAGCCATCCCATTACTGGGTATATACCCAAAGGACTATAAATCATGCTGCTATAAAGACACATGCACACGTATGTTTATTGCGGCACTATTCACAATAGCAAAGACTTGGAACCAACCCAAATGTCCAACAATGATAGACTGGATTAAGAAAATGTGGCACATATACACCATGGAATACTATGCAGCCATAAAAAAGGATGAGTTCATGTCCTTTGTAGGGACATGGATGAAATTGGAAATAATCATTCTCAGTAAACTGTCGTAAGAACAAAAAACCAAACACCGCATATTCTCACTCATAGGTGGGAATTGAACAATGAGAACACAGGGACACAGGAAGGGGGATGTCACACTCTGGGGACTGTTGTGGGGTGGGGGGAGTGGGGATGGATAGCATTAGGAGATATACCTAATGCTAAATGACGAGTTAATGGGTGCAGCATACCAGCATGGCACACGTATACATATGTAACTAACCTGCACATTGTGCACATGTACCCTAAAACTTAAAGTATAATAATAATAAAATAAAATAAAAGAAAAAAAAAAAAAGAAAAGACACACAGATCAGAAAGGAAAAAATAAAATAAAATAAAACTGTCCCTCTTTGAAGATGATGTAGTTTTCTATGTAGAACATCCCAAGAAATCTACCATAAAAACTTCTACAACTAATAAGGGAGTTTAGCAAGGTCACAGAATGTAAGACAACCATACAAAAGTCAACTGCATTTCTATATAATAGCAATGAGCACAGGGACACTGATTAAAAAAAAGCAACATCGCTTATACTCACTCAAAAATGATATACTTGAATGTAAATATAACAAAAAATGCAAATAAAGAGACATTACCTTGTACACAGATTGGAAGGTTCAATATAGAAAGATGCCAATTTTCCTCAAATTGATATTCAGGCTTAACACAATCCCTATGAGAATTTCAGTAAGACTCTTTGTAGATATAGATAAGATCAATCTAAGGACAAAACAACTAGTAGAACTAAAAGAATTCTGTAAAGAAAATGAGAGGAATGAAAGGAAATGAAATAAAAGGAAAATGGGAGGAATCAGCCTTCCTGAGTTTAACACTTCTTATTGCATATCAAAACTGTGTTTATGTCCAAAATAGCATATTTAAATATACTGTAGAGGCAGAAATCAATTTTTTCAATACCTTCATTTTTTTCTAGAAAACTTAAAAGAATTTCTTAAAACTTTCTATTTTCATAGACTTGTAAATTCCTATGTGAAAATTACATTAAAATTATCTAACACATCACCCTGCTCATTTTATGTATAAAAAACTGCGGTTCAAAGAATGAACCAATTATGCCAATACTAAAGACTATGTAAAATAAATTAACCCCACTTTATCAATTTTGTAATTCATTTTTTCGAATGTGTAACAAATCCTATGTCTTCCCTTAAAATAGCACTTATTTTCTAAGAATGGCTAAACTTAATTTAATTCTTCAAACGAATGATAAAATCTTTCTAAACAACAAACGCCCGTGGACTGAAAGTCAGATAATGCTAGTTTGAGTTGATACTAGCTTGACGCTTATCCCATTTTAAAAAGATTTTCAAATATGTCCTAAATGTCTTCATCTCTACACTGTATAAAAATAATATACAGTCATTCCTCAGCATCCAGAGGAGACTGGTTCCAGGAACCCCTGCAGATACCCAAATTTCTGTATGCTCAAGTCCCTTATATAAACTGGCATAGTATAGGTTGAGAATTCCTAATATGAAAATCTGAAACCCAGAATCCTCCAAAATTTGAAACTTGAGTACCAACAGGATGTCACAAGTGGAAAGTTCCACACACAAGTACTTAACACAATACACAAAATTATTAAAACTATTCTATAAATTACTTTCAAACAATGTGTATAAGATGTGTAGAAAACATAAATGAATTTTATATTTACACTTAGGTCCCATCCCCAAGATATCTCACTATGTATATGAAAATGTTCCAAAATCCAAAAATATCCAAAATTGAAAACACTTCTGGTCCCAAGCATTTTTCATAAGGCATGCTTAATCTATGCTTGCATGTAACCTACACATATCATCCCATATATTTTAAATCATCTTTACTTATAATACTAAGTACAATGCTAATGATACATAGTTATTATACTGTATTTTTATGTATAGTATTTTATTGTTTTTTTTATTGTTTTTTTTTTTAAATTTTTGATCCGTGGTCAGTTGAATTTGCACATGTGGAACCCATGAATACAAAGGACTAACTTTATTCACTCATTGACTGATGGGCATTTGGGCTGGCTGCATATTTTTGCAATTGCAAATTGTGCTGCTGTAAACATGCATATGCAAGTATCTCTTTTGTATAATGACTTCCTTTCCTCAACTACAAATTGGGTTCAGTATATACTGCTCAGGTGATGAGTGCACCAAAATCTCACAAATCACCACTAAAGAACTTACTCATGTAACCTGTTCCCCCAAAACTTATGGAAATAAAAAATTAAAATAAAAAAAAATAGAAGTTACCAGTGGCAAACAATAACAACATAAAAACAAAGGGCCAACTTTATTTCGTAGATGAGTATTTGATATCTTCCTGAAGTTTTTCCCAAGATTTGGTTTGTATTGTTTGATTAAGCACTGAAAACAAACAAATGTTTATAAATATGTGTGAAATATATAGAGTAACTAAAATGAACACCTATTTTGCTTCCACTTTTTTTGAAACATTGACTGAAAGTTACCATTATCTTGGAAGCCCCAAGTAATACTTGCTCAGTGTTATTTCCTTCTCTCCCTCCTCAGCAGTAATCAGTATTCTGAATTTTGTTGTATTTTTAAAATTTTGTATTTTTAATTTTATAGACATATAGTAGGTATATATATTTATGGGATATGTTCTGAATTTTGTTTTATCATCCTTTGTTTCTCTCTAATAATCTTTCCAAACATATTTGAATTATTAAATACATATTGCGTTTGACATGTGCTATGGTCTGAATATGTCTTCCCACATTTATATGTTGAAACTTAATCATTAATGTGATAGTATTAAGAAGTGGAACCTTTAGGAGGTAACTGGGTCATGAGGGCAGAGCTCTCATGAATGGAATTAGTGGCCTTACAAATGAGGTGCTAGGCTATTCACAGTAGCCAGGATATGGAATCAACTTAGGTGCCCAACAACAGAGGAAATGAAAAAAGAAAATGTGGTTTCTCTACATATACAATAGAATAATACTGATCCATAAAAAAAATAAAATCTTGTCATTCATGGCAACATGAATGGAACTGGAGGACATTATGTCAAGTGAAATAAGCCAGGAAAGGAAGTTAAACACTGAATGTTCTCACTCATATGTGGAAGATAAAAAGTTTATCACATAGAAGTAAAAAGTAGAACAAAGGATACTAGAGGATAGGAAGGGTAGAAGTAAGAGGAGAATAAGGGAGAGATTTGTTAAAGAAAATAAAATTACGGCTAGATAGGAGGAATACGTTCTAGTGTTCTATAGCTCTATAGGATAACTATACTTAACAATAATATATTATGTACTTTCAGATCGCTAGAAGGAGGATGTTGAATGTTCCTAACACAAATAAATGATGAATGTCTGATATGGATAAGGTAATTATCCTGATTTCATCACTATAATACATAATATGTAACATCACTAAGTACCCTATAAATATCTACAAATGTTTTATGTTAATTTTGAAAATTAAAAGTAGAAAGAATAGAAAGAAAAGAAGTGTGAGGGAGCTGCTTCCTTCCCCTTTTTCCCCTTCCATCTCTTCTGCCATGTGCAGACACAGCACTCATCTCCTCTAGAGATTGCAGCAACAAGGCACCATCTTCAAAGAAGAAAGCAGCCTTCACCAGACACCAAAACTGCCAACACCTTGATCTTTGACTTCCCAGGCTTCAGCATGGTGAGGAATAAATATCTGTTCTTTTAAAATTACCTAGTAACAGATTTATAGTTATGGTAGCACAAGTGTACTAAGACAACTTGTTTTTACCTACACAAATATAATCACATTATATGTATTCTGCAACTTCCATGTTTAGCGTTATGTTCCTGATAGTAATTTATGTTTGGTATAGCAGCAGTTTATTCATTTTTACTAATGTAAAAACTTTTGGTGGTGAAGCAGGTGCCCCACTATATGCAGGTGCCCCATTATATAAACATGCCATGTATTTATTCTTTTTAAAATCAGTAGTTAATCTATTTGTTGCAATAGCACGTAAGACTCCAACATGTATTTCTATGTTTATCCTCAGAGCCACTGTGCAAGAATCCCACTAGGCTTAATCTAGATCCTTTAAACTTATTAGATGAAGCCAAACTAATTTCCATATAGTTATACCCCTTTAAACCTCCAGTAGCTATGTTTAAGACCTTCTCCAACAATTTATATTTTCAGATTATTTTTCTGTTGTTAGTTTTATGGGTATGACATAGTATCTTAAAGCAATAATGTGTGTTTTTCTGACAACCGATTAGATTGAGCACCTTGCTATATCTTCATTGGACATTCATATTTTCTATTCTGTGAACTGCTATTGACTTATTCTTCTATTGCTTCTATTTTATTTGAAACGTAACATGATTTTTGCATATTCCAAATATTCATCATGGCTTTACACAATAAAAATATATTCTTCTAACATAAATTTACTGTTAATACTTGTAATGGTGTTTAGTAATGGAGAAAAAGTATTAATTTAAAAATATTAATAGTTAAAACTTACAGCTAGTGCTTTTGTCTTGTTAAAAACAAAACCAAAATCAAAATACTTTTTCATATTCTGAGGTCAAAAACATCTTTTATCTTATAATTTTAATATAGATTTTTTATACAAAGATTTTACGCAAAATGATAACTGAAATACAATTTCTTTTTTAATATGGTCAAATAACTGCCAACACAAATAATTTAAAATTCTTTCCTTATTCTAGTCATCTGTATTGCTAGCTTTCTCATAAATCAAATTTTTCTATTTGACATTTTCTGTTCCATAGAGCAATATATTTACCCTTCCATTACAATATATTGTAATCTTTGAATTACAATAGCATATTAATAATTCTTGATATCTAATAAGGTGAGTATCCTAATCTCATTCTTATTTTAGCTACGCCTGCCAATTTCGGTCCTCTGTTCTTCCATAAATTTTAGATTTATTTTACCAAAATCTACAAAGTAATTACTTGACATTTGATTATAATTGCACTAGATTATAGATTACTTCGGGGGGAGAATTGATATGTTTTGAATATTGAGTCTTTGCATCCATTAACATAGATAATCTATTTAGTTAGCTTTCCTGAATATCATTTGATAAAAATTTATATTTTTTGTTAAAAAAATCAAAATATCAAAAAATATCAAAAAATATATTTTTATAAAATGTATTTTATATTTAATAAAAAATTATATTTTTTATTAGATGACTTATAACCCTTGGACTATATTTGTTTCCAGGTATTTGTATTTTTTGGTGGTTTATTAAGTTATACCACTTAAATTATTTTAGCTAATTATTTATTTCATTCTATAAAAAGCCAATTAATTTCTTTTAAAATATATTGACCCTTTATAGCAATCACACTAAATTATTTTATTAATTCTATTAAATATGTATATCTTTCCTATTTTTATAGCTAACTGAATCATCTGCAAATATAGTAATTTTATTTCATTTAAATCATTATCGATTAATTGACTTATTTATTAATTCATTTATTTCTACACTTATTATGCTTTACAGGCCTGGCTAGGATTGCCAGTATAAAGTTAACTAGAAGTGGGGATAGTTTACACTTCTTTTTGGTCTTGATCTTCAATAAATTGCTTTAAATATTTCTTCGTTAAGAATATTTACTTAGGGATTTAATATATACTTTATTATATTAAAGAAGATGGTTGTATTTCTTTTATTTTTATTTTGCTATTTTTTTCATTATGAATAGATGTTGAATTTTATCTAATGCCGTTCCTAAAACTGTTAACTAATTTTATGGCCTTTGTACTCTTATATGGTGAATTAGTTAAATAGATTTTCTAAATCTAAATACTAATCCAAGTATAAAATCTAAATACTAATTTTCAAAATGTAAAATTCTAATCTTGTATTTATGAGAAGATCCAATTTGGTCATGATATATTATGTTCTTTTATTCATTACAGGTACTATTTTTTAGTATTTCATTTAGGGTGTTTGCATATATATTCATGGGTGAAATTGCCTAATAAATTTCTAGACTTGTTACCATTGTTAGGTTTTGGAATCAGGATTATGTGAACTCCAAAAAATGTGTGGCAGAGTATTACCACTTTTTCTCCTTCTTTATTCATTTTGTAACATTTGATTTACTCCTTCCCTCAGTGTTTGAAAGAATTTGCCATAAAGCATTCTATCTGATGTTTTTTTTATGGGAATAATTTTAACTAACCACAGATCATTTTTAGTGGTTATAGAACTGTTCAGTTTTCTACTTCTGATTGAGACGTATTTGATAAGTTACATTTTTCTTAGATATTTGTTCGTTTCACTTAAGTTTTAAAATTTATTAGTATAAAGTTGTTCATTATATGCATTCATTAACTTCTTAATTTCTGAATTAACTATAGTTATATCTTCTTATTCATTCTTAATATTGATTTTTTGAGCATTCTCTTTTATTCTTGATAAATCTTACTGGTGGCTTACAGTATACATCCCTCCTTACTTGTCTTTATCATTTTTCTTTTTGTTTTATTTGATGTTAGCCCATCTTTTCATTCACATTCACCATCCCCTAACTCCTCAGATCCCCCCCTCAAAAAAAATCTTACGTTGGAAGCTTAGGTCATTAATTTTCAGAATTTTGTTTTCTAATTCGTATAACATTTAGTACTATACATTTCCATCCAAGTACTACTGTAACTCATTTCACAATTTTCGTGTTCATTTTTTAGTTCTAAATATATTCTAACTTCTGTTATGACTTCTTCAAGTGTATGCTATTTAAACAGGAAGACTTTAAATAATGTTTGTAACAATGTTGTTATTTCTGCTTTCTAACTTACATTCATAGAGATCACAGAATATGACCGGTGTAAAACCACTATTAATGTAGTTAATTTTGTTAACTTTAGATCAATGTAGTAAATTTTGTTATTTAATTCTTCTGTAAAATCACTCATGTATTTTGCCTATGTAATGAAATACTAAAATAAGCATATCTTACCTTCTCAGTATGATTGTCTATATAATTTTAGCTAGTTATTAGATTATACAAGTTCAGTACTATTCCTTGTGAAGTAAATACTTTAGTAGCATGTAGCAACGTTTTGCATATATTAATCATTTTGCCTGAATATATTTTAGATATATTTCTTGTAAATGGCATAGAGTTGTATTTTAGTTTTTGTTTAAGTTCAGTTTAACAGTCTTTATCTTTTACTTGAAATATTTAATCAGTTTATGTTATTATAATATCTAGTATACTTATATTCATCTTTAACACTTTCAACATTTTCTATTTGCTCAAAATTTTCTGTCTCTTTTCCTCTCTTTTTGCCTAAATTTAATTGCATTTCTTATTTTGTTTTTCCCCAGTTTGGAAGTTACATAGTCTATTTATATTCTTGAAATGGTACCCATATAACAAAATTGCCCTTCTGCCCCTTAAATTTATAAAAATTAAAAAAAAAAGAATAAGAGTGAAACGAATTTGAAGTGTGTGTTTGTGTGTGTGTGTGTGTATGTGTGTATTTAAAATTCCCTTGTTTTTGAAAATATTATTTTGCTGGATATATAACAGTTATCTTCTCTCATCTCTCTGATAATATGATTCCACTATACTGTAGTGCCCACAAAGGTTGTTTTCTTGTTGTTATTGTTGTTGTTTTCCCTTTGTTGTTCTTTGATTTCATTATTTTTATGTCTAGATGTGGAGACCTTGTTTTAGCCTGCTTAGGTTTCCTATGGATTGCTGAATCTGAAGTTTTCTGATTAATGAAAAATCTTTCAGGCATTATTTTTCCTCTTATCCAGAACTCCAGTTAGACAAATGTTGGGTGTCCATATCCCAGCATCACTTTCTCCCACATTTCCCATGTCTTTGTTTCTATGGGCTGTATTCTGGATATGTTTTATAAATCTATCATTTAGGCCATAATTCTTTCTTCTGTTTTTCCAAATATTTTATATTTTATTTCTAGAAGTTCCATTTGATTCTTTTGCACTTATTTTATATATACACATACATGTTTTTGGGTTTTTTTTTCTTTTTTTTTTTTTTTTTTGGAGATGGAGTCTCACTCTGTCACCCAGGCTGGAGGGCAGTGGCATGATCTCAGCTCACTGCAACCTCCGCCTCCCGGGTTCAAGCAATTCTCCTGCCTCAGCCTCCCGAGTAGATAGGAGTACAGGCGTGCCCTGCCACGCCCAGCTAATTTTTTTTGTATTTTAGTAGAGACGGGGTTTCATAGTGTTGCCCAGGCTGGTCTTGAACTCCTGAGCTCAGGCAATCTGCCCGCCTCAGCCTCCCAAAGTGCTGGGATTACAGGCATGAGCCACCGTGCCTGGCCTGCACTTAGTTTTTATATCCCTCTTAACATATTATCTTTTGCTTTTTTTATTTTTTGAAATACATATAGCACTTGTTTTATACTTGATGTCTGATTTTTAAAAATCTAAAAAATTGATTTTCTTTGCTGTCTGATATTTCGGCTGACCCTTCTTTACCATATTTTGTCCTTGTTTGTGTCTCTTTCGACAGTAAATTAATACTCCCCACAAGTTTATCTGTGGGGATTAGTTTGGACCTGGTTTGATGGTGTGATGCTTTTCTCCAGAGTATTTGTGTGGGTTTTGTTATTGTTTTTTATTTGTTTGTTTGTTTGTTTTTTAGAGCATGTAGGAACACTACCAATTCAGGATTTTTTTTAAAGGGAATAATTTTTTTGCTGTCAGTCCATATTAGCAGTAAGCTACGAATGCATGTATAGATTGGATTTAATTATTACTTCCAGATTTTTAAATCTCTAATACCAGGATTAGTAATGAGACGGTATCCTGGCTGGGCACAGTGGCTCACATCTGTAATCCCAGCACTTTGGGAGGCCATGGCAGGTGATCACTTGAGGCCAGGAATTTGAGACCACCCTGGCTAACATGATGAAACCCTGTCTCTGCTAAAAATACAAAAAGCTGGGCATGGTGGTGGGCACCTATAATACCAGCTACTCAGGAGGCTGAGGCAGGAGAATAGCATGAACTTGGGAGGTGGAGGTTGTAGTGAGCCGAGATCACACCACTGCACTCCAACCCGGGCAACAGAGCAAGACTCTGTCTCAGGAAAAAAAAAAAAAAAAAAAAGTAAAGAGACAGTATCCTTGTCCCAAGGTTCAAGTTTATTTTTATTTCCTGTTACACTAAATAAAACATGGGTGTAAAACATAGGTGACTTATAGACAAACCCACCCTCACACGATTCTTCACTTTCCACTTTATCTTACCTTTTATTATGACAGCCCTAGTAGCCCTACACCTAATATTTCTACACGAAACAGGATCAAATAACCCCTCAGGAATCCCTTCCCACTCTGACAAAATTACCTTCCATCCCTACTACACAACTAAAGATATCCTAGGCCTATTTCTCCTCCAAAGTTTGAATGTCATAAGTTCCCTGTAGTTCCCTGTTATGACTTTATTGCTCCTACACTGATATGTGTGTGTGTGTACGTGTGTGTATGTGGGGGATCAGTCACATGGTGGGAAAAACTATAGGGAAAGGATGCAAACCTTCTGAAAGGTCAGAAGGTTCTGCAGAGCCCCAGGGGAGAATAGCTGAAGGCAGCTGTTCTATAACCCTGAAGCAGAGGGCAAGGAGTAGGTACAACGGAATGTGGAGGAATTTATCTTAAACAGGCTTGTTTACTTATGTTGACCAGAAACTTACCTTTGATCATCGGCGTGCATGACATTCCCTGAAAGGGGAACAATAAATGTTAATTCCCTACAGGTTGTGTTGGCTCCAGGTTTTCGGCGTTGTGCCTGCCCTGAATATAAGCAAGCAGCTCCAGCTTCTTGGGGCTGCTCTCTGGCCACTAGAGTCAGGCAGTCACCTAGCTGCTCTTACACTGCATACCTGTGTCTGAGTACTCATTTCATCCATTGGCCAAGGTCTGCGGGACAGACCTGGCATGTGTACGCCTATATTCCCTTTTATACAGAAGAAGTTGTCTTTGAATTGTTACTTTTTGTATGATTGAGTTAGAGATATGTTAGGAGACAGAGTTTGGGTATGGGCAGCTCTTTAGGTCAGTTTTCACAGAAGCTTATCCTCCGATTGAATTTTTATGTAAGTGCTTTCTTAAGGGAATATCCCCAAGAAAAATGTGCAAGTGAACAGGTGAGGCAGAGCAGGAAACGGGAAAATGCCAAACAAGGGTGTAACTTCAGGCAAAGTCCCCTGATTTTGTTTCAATATTATCCTGCAGGGGAGCATTATATTAGGATAGGCATTTTGCCATCATGTTTGTTTCAGGGGTAGTAGTCATCATTGGCTACTAACATCTTGCTTCATTTTTTTTTTTTTCTGCAACCAAACAACTTCTGTAGTCCAAAGTCAGTCCCTTAAGAAAGACATCTGGATGTAGAGCTGAATACAAATGTCCACCTGAGGAAGGAGACATAGAAAGTGTCAGACATTTTGGAAAGGGTCTGCATGTAGCTTCCCTCTCTGGCTTTCTGGGGGCTGCTTCAGGTACAGCTGTTCCCAAACCAGTAGAAAGGGTAAACCAGAGGAAATAAAGAGGAGGAGTTACATTAAAAAGAAAAGACATAAACGTTGTATTAATTCCCTGTGTTCATATTTCTGATAAAAACCAATTCAAATGCCCCTACCTAACTGTGTGGGAAGCTAAGAAATGTAGCTCAGCTGAAATTCTATCCCTGGGGAGGATAGAGCAAACAGATTTGGCAAGAGACAACTAGCAATCTTCCACAGAGGCTGTCAGTATATGGATTTTAGGTATACTTCTGGGATGGGATAGGGTTACCCAAGGAGTAAGAATAGTTTCAAAAGAAAAGAGACTTTAGAATACTAGTAGGGGCCAGGCCCAGTGGCTCATGCCTATAATCCCAGCACTTTAGGAGGCTGAGGTGGGTGGATTACTTGAGCTCGTGAGTTCGAGACCAGCCTGGGAAACATGGTAAGACCCCATCTCTCCAAAAAAAATAACAGTTAGTCAAGTGTGGTGCACGCACCTGTAGTCCCAGATACTCTGGAGGCTGAGGTGACAGGATCACCTGAGCCTGGGAAGTCAAGGCTGCAGTGAGCTGTGATCGCACCACTGCATTCCAGCAGAGTGAGACCCTGTCTCAAAAAAATATATATATACATATATATATATGTGCGTGTGTGTGTGTGTGTTTGTGTATGTATGTATAATATGCCTAGCAAAGCAGAGAATTAAGCCCAGGTAGGTAGCAGTTACTGGCGATCTGGTAGGAAAGGGTAAACTAGGAGAATGTGGCATTACCAAAGCCTGGAAAAGAAAACGTTTCAAGAAGGATGAAGGGATGACATGCACATTCTAGAGGTATTCTAGACAGCAAGAAGACAAGGATAAGACATGTAGCCTGTTTCCATGGGACTGACACTGGAGTGTGTTTGGGTGACAGTGAACAAAATAGTGGGTTAAAAGTAGGAAAAGGAGGCCAGGCGCGGTGGCTCACGCCTCTAATCCCAGCACTTTGGGAGGCCGAGGTAGGCAGATCACGAGGTCAGGAGATCAAGACCATCCTGGCTAACATGGTGAAACCCCGTCTCTACTAAAAATTCAAAAAATTAGCCAGGCGCGGTGGCGGGCTCCTGTAGTCCCAGCTACTCGGGAGGCTGAGGCAGGAGAATGGCGTGAACTCAGGAGGCAGAGCTTGCAGTGAGCCGAGATTGTACCACTGCACTCCAGCCTGGGCGACAGAGCAAGACTCTGTCTCAAAAAAAAAAAAAAAAAAAAAAGTAGGAAAAGGAGGCATAGGTTCAGGATGGGTGAGGACACAAGAAGGGATAAAAGATCAGGTAGGAAGAATTCTGTGCTTTTTTCAGAAAAGAAGCAGAAGATTGACAGGTAGAAAATAATGAGAAAGGACTTTTTTGGTTAAATTTCTCAGGAAGTTCTCTTGGCCCTTCTTTTTCTCTAACCCTGTGATCTATTCAGCATCTACCCATGCTGGTGTAGCATGCCAATAGCAACTCCTTGTTGCTAGGAATTTTTTGAAGCAATCAATCTCACCATCCTGAAAGAAGTGAGAGGAAATTCAAGATGAAATTTGGGAAAACATCCTGTTAAGACTGAAATCATTTAGAATAAAGTGACAGTTTGGAGAATTGGTAATTAGAATTTAAATTTGATCAATTAATTTTTGTCAAGCATCAAATAGGATGGGTGCAGTGGCTCACGCTTGTAATCTCAGCACTTTGGGAGGCCGAGGAGGGTGTGGCAGATCACTTAAGGTCAGGAGTTCGAGACCAGCCTAGCCAACTTGGTGAAACCCTGTCTCTACTAAAAATACCAAAAAAATTAGCTGGGCATGGTGGCACATGCCTGTAATACCACCTACTTGGGAAGCTGAGGCAAGGGAATTGCTTGACCCTGGGAGACAAAGGTTGCAGTGAGCCGACAGCACACCACGGCACTCCAGCGTGGGCAACAGAATGATACTTCATCTCAAAAAACAAAAACAAAAACAACAAAACCATCAAATTATCTTGGAAGTCAAGTACTTTGGAAGTTTATTTTTCTATTTCAAATAAAAATAAACACACTTTTTAAATTTATTTGTAAATTTACATACATTAAATATCACTACTTTGGGGTACAATTTGATGATATTGGAAAAATAAGCAGAGTTGCATAAGCACTGCTACAAGACACAGAACAGTTCTATTACCTCAAAATCCACTTAGCAGTCCTTTCATATTAAACAAATCTTAACTCCTAACTCCTGGCAACCATTGATTGTTTCATCCCGACAGTTTGTTTTTTAGAGAACGTTATAAAAGTATAATCATATGGCATAAATAGCCTTGTTGGTAAATCTCTCCTACAGCAATCTATGTGAGATTTACCCATATTGTTTCATGTATAAATAGGTCATTCTTCTGCAAGGCTTTGGAGTATTCAATTGTCTGGATGTACTAAAATGTATTTATCCATTTGCCCATTGAAGGACATTTGGGTAGAAATGTTAGAAATAAAGCTAAAAATAAATGTTCATATTTGGTTTTGTGTGGACATGAGTTTTATTTCTCTTGGTAAATATGTAGGAGTGGTATTGGTAGATCACATGCTAAGTATCCATCAACTATATTACAAAGTGGTTTTACCGGCTTGCATTCTTATCAGCAATGAATAATGGTTATTCTTGTTCTGTGTCCTCCACAGAACTTGGTATTGTCAATTGGCTTTGTTTTTCACCTTAGCCATACTAATAGATGTGTAAAAGTATCTCTTTGTGTTTTTAATTTGCATTTTTCTAAAGACTAATGATGTTGAACTTCATTACTTTTGGTTATTTGTGATCTATTCATCTCCTTTGGTGAAGTATCTGTTTGTAACCTTTTTATTGGGTGTTTTGTTTTCCTATTACTGAGTTTTGAGAGTGTTTAGTATTTCCTGAGCACAAGTCTTTGTCAAATATGTGGTTGGCAAATATTATCTTCAAATCTCTGCTTTGTCTTTTCAGCCTCTTAAAAGTGTCTTTCACAGAGCAAAATGTTTTCATTTGTTGAAGTCCAACTTCTGAGGGTTTTTTTGTGATGAATTATACTTTTTGTGCCATATCTAAGAATACTTTCCCTAATTCAAGGTCATAAAGCTTTTCCCCTATGTTTTCTTCTAAAAGATTTTTAATTCAAGATATCACATTTAGATATATTGTCTTTTTTTGTTGTTATTTGTTTATATACTGTGAGGGATGGTTTGAGTTCCATTTTATTTTGTAAGTTTGGCTTTGAACTGATAACTCAGAGGGAGGAACAGACAAGCCGAGCCCTAAGATTGCTGCACCTTACTACTGAAGAGAGTTTGCAGACTTCAGCTCAAGAAAGGGAACCCATCCAAAGGGTGGCAGTTTCCCTGAGTTGGGGAGACTAAGATGCAACTTCAAGAAGTAGGCCAACAGGGTAAGTTTTCAGGACACAGTACTGAAGAGGAGAGACCTACACAGTGTATGCACAGACACACAAACTCACACAGAGCACTCTGAAAAACTGCAGAGGTTCTCCGTTAAATTTTAAGCAGAGCACTGATCAGCACATGCCTGCAAGGAAACTACCTGAGGCTGGGAAAAAAATATGCAAACCCCCAAAATGATTAAAGGGAACAATGTGCAGAGGTTGCACACAGGATCAGGAATAGGCTGCCTTCTCACTGTTACAGGATTATAGAGTGGAAAACTACATAATTCTCCAGATATTGAAGAGAATACTCGAAGGGGTATTTACCTAAATCGTAAACTAATATTAGCCCTATACCAAAGGCTGCTCTGATTAGCTCATCACAAAACTTAAGCAAGGCTCAAAAGGTTCTAACAGTGTGTAAGTAGTTGAAAGGCACCCCAGGGCAAAGCTCAATAATATGTATATGGATGCAAAAATATCCACACCCCAAAATCCACAATACCTACCATTCACTCAACCATCATGGTTGATCAATTAACCATCATGCAAAAAGCAGGAAAATACTATAAATAAATAAAAATAGACTGATAGGAATATAAATTGATACACCTATTATAATAACCTGTATAGAAGTTCCTCAAACAAACAAACAAACAAAAATAGAATGGTAATTTAATCTAGAAATCCCATTTCTGTGTATTTACATGAAATATTTGAAATTAGTAGTGTCAAAGAAATGTCGGCACCCCTATGTTTACTGCAGCATTATTCACAATAGCCAAGATGTGGAAGCAATTTAAGTGTTCATCAACAAATGAATGAATAAAGAAAGTGAAGTATATATATATATATATATATATATATACACTGGAACACAATTCAGTCTTGAAAAAACAGAAATTTTGTCATTTGTAACAACTTGGATGGAATTAGAAAACATTATGCTAAGTGAAACAAGCCAGAAACAGAACGACAAATACCACATGTTCTCACTCGTATGTGGAATCTAAAATAATGGAACTCAAAGAAATGGAGAGTAGAATGGTGGTCAGTCATCAGAGGACAGGGGCTTGGGATATATGGGGAGATGATAGTTGAAAGGTACGAAGCTGCAATTAGACAAGAGGAGTAAGAATTTTTTTCTTTCAGATATATTCCACACCATGGATATAGTCAATAATAATGTATTACACACTTCAAAATTGCTAACAGAGTAAATTTGAAATGTTCTCACCAAAAATAAGTATTTGAGGTGATAGATATGTTAATTAGTTTGATTTAATTATTCCACATTGTATTCATAAATCATAACATCATGTTGTATCCCACAAATATATACAACTATCACCAGTCAATTTACAATTTAAAATGTTTTAAAAGACTCAGAAATGACACAAATGATAGAATTAGTAAACAAAGACATACAAATAGTTATTTGTATAACTATTTGTATAATATTATACAAATATTTATAACTATAATTATAACTATAAATTTGTTATAAATAGTTATAACAAATAACTATATTCCTTACATTTATGGCAATTGAGGAAATTTTGAACATGTTAGAGACAAATATTAAAATCAAACTTTTGGAGTTTAAAGTAAAGTAAAACCTGTACTGGATGAAATTAACAGCAGATTTAGCACTGCAGAATAAGAAAATTCATTAACTTAAAGACGTGGGAAAACTATCCAAGATGAAATCCAGAGGAAGAAAAACAGTTCAGAAAAAAATAAACAGAGCATCAGTGAGATATGGAATGATGTCCAGTAGCCTACTGTATGTATAATTGGAGTCCTTAGAAAGTTGCTTTTTATATTTTGTCTAGTGTTTTTCATAGTGATCAGTGAGATAGACAGATTGCATTGGACTTATCCCACCTGATTGAGCACCACGCAAATAATAGCCTTTTACAATCACTTATAGAATTCAATCACTTTTGCTACCGACAACTGATAAATATTTATTCAGTTGACTAGTTACGAAGATGGTCAACCTCAGCCATTAATAATCTATTGAAAGAAACTACCATTATATATATATATATATATATATAATATATTTAATAATGGCTGCCACATATATATGGGCTTTGCCAATTTGTTTCACTTTTCCCTTTTGTGTTTTTGCTCTATGAAGATTATGAATTTCCCATTGTAGATTCTCTCACCTTCAGTAGAAAAATTATGACTTGTCTTAAAATTGAATAAGTACAACGAAGAAAAGCCATCGAATGACCAACTTTAATGCTAGTCTCAAAGGAAGAGTGTAGCCAATTTATTTGATGTATTGACTGTAATAAAAAATCCTTTGAGATGATTCAAATTCCTTAATACTCTGAGTTTCAGTCTGACTAATCACCTTTCATAGTAAACATTTGGCAATCTGTACTAAATTTTCAAAATCTTGCTATTCAAAAATAAGTTCCTATGTGAGCTAATATGTTTAGTCGTCACTTAAACTAACCAAATAGAATGGACTAAAAAGAATCAGAAAAGTAGTTTCATTAATTCTCACACAGGGAATGCAGGATTCTCCTGCAGGCATCTATGCTCCAGAGAGAAATTTTAAATTCCTGGCAGGAAAGTGAGAGATAATTCCATGGTGATTTTTGGTATAAGGAGCTAAACTACCACACTTCTTGCATCCTGATTGGATGTGCATTTGGCCATTTTTGAGATGTGTTATATCCTGGGGACCTATACAGGCGAGTCACCTGTGTATGATCGCAGGACATAGATGGGTTCGGGTCTTACAATCTCTTACTTAGATTACTCCAACAGCCTCTTAACTGTACACCCAACCTCAAAGCACCACTGTATTTAAACCCTTATGAAAATGGATACAGAGTGTTGTGTGTTTATTCTCTCTTCAAAGCCACCTAATTTTCTGGTACCCCCAGGATTGTATCCACTGTCCTTAGCACGACATTTCTTTACCTAGTTTTCAACACTAATATTGTATTCGCTTTCCCCATCACACACACCAGTGTTTATAAGACACTGTTGTGCAAAAGGTTCACCTTGAATGCCTTTTTAAATTCAGGCTTTATAGTGTGAAAGGGACTCAGGAGACTGCTTTTTTTTTTTTTTTTTTTTTTTTTTTTTTGAGATGGAGTCTTGCTCTTTCGCCCAGGCTGTAGTGCAGTGGCACGATCTCGGCTCAGTGCAAGCTCCACCTCCTGGGTTCACGCCATTCTCCTGCCTCGCCTCCTGAGTAGCTGGGACTACAGGCGCGTGCCACCACACGCGGCTAAGTTTTTGTATTTTTCATTAGAGACGAGGTTTCACCATGTTAGCCAGGACGGTCTCGGTCTCCTGACCTCGTGATCCACCCACCTCGGCCTCCCAAAGCGCTGGGATTACAGGCGTGAGCCACCGCGCCCGACCAGGAGACTGCATTTTTAACAAATTTTCTGGGAATTAGTAACATAGGTGGTCCAGGGGCTACACTCCAAGAAATACTGCCTAATGTCCCATCCTCATATGTCTCAATTATAGCTACACATTAGCATTAACTGAAGCACTTTAAAATGTTCCATTGCTTGAGCCCAGCCTATTCTGGTTTAAATGGTTTGAGGTGGAAACTAAAGAAAAATTGCTGTTGCTGTTGTTATTGTTTATTTGTTTTAAACAATTCTTTAAGAGGTCTCTCATGTGCACCCAGGGCTGAGAATCTCTGTATTAACCACAGCCCTCTACATGTGACTCTGTGTGAAGTTATTCTTCTCCCTGACGTCCTGATCTTCCTCAGACTTACAAAACCTTACTCAAGCATCCAGGCCTAGATGAAGTGCCCTTGAAACACACTTCTGAATCTTCCCAACATAACTAAAGCAGAGTTAATTGCTACTCTAGAATTGAGCCTCATATATTAAGCATATATATTTTTACACACTTTCCCTTCTCTCAGAATATGGGCACCTTGAGAGCAGAGACAATGGTTTAATTCACCTTGGCATCAACCAATGTTTAGAACAGTGCAAAATGTTCCCTGGGAGCTCAGGACTGGCTGCAGAACAAATGGATCACTGCCTGACTCTACCAGTCCCCAGGTGAGCTCACTCAGCCTCAGGGCTTTTAACACCATCTGTATGATGGCAATGCTCATATTTCTATCTTCAGTCTAGATTTTGCCTCTAGACTCCACACCCTTCCATCCAGCTGTCGACATAGAATCTCAATTCAGATGCCAGAAAGCATGGCCACACTGAAGAAGTTTTTGCCCCTATCCTGACTGACAACCCATCCACCAGCATGTCCCATCTAAGTTTCATGGTGGCTTTATCTTTGCTGTTGTTCAGGCTGAGAACATGGCAATGTTGCTTTTCCCCACTCTTTCACTTACACTTCATGTATGACCTGTCTATAAATCCTATTAAGTCTACCTATGAAATATATTAGACTCAGACAAGTTTCCAAACCTTCTACCTCTCCATTCTGTTCTAAGCCATCTTCGTGTTTCACAGATTTATTGGGCAACAATCCTAAGAAATGTTCACATTCCATTCTGATCCCTGTACTCTATCCTCCTAAAAACAACCAAAATGATGGTTTCAAAAATTAAATCTAATTTTGTCATTCTTGGTCCTCATATGACTTCCCATTTCATTCAGAATAAAGGTTCTTACGGTGACTAGTGAGGCCTTGCACAATATGCCCCCCACTTGACCACATCCTTTACCACTGTAGCTCCTGTTCACTCTATTGCAGTCACACAGGGTCCTCAGGACTTTGCGGATACCGTCCCCACTGCCTAATACCCTCTTCCTACACATGGCTTCACTTCCTTCACGTCTCTGCTTAAAGTGAGACAATGCCTTTCATATCTGCCTTGTAGAGAATAAGAGTCCCTAACACCATGCTGGAATTTGGTATCTTTCATAGTTTGGTTAATTTCCTTTGCATAATACATATTACCATCTAACATACTATCTGTGGTCGGCTGAATAATATTTCCCAAAACACCAAAATTTGTAAATATTACTTTATTTAGATTAAAAGGATCTTTGCAGGTATAATTAATTTAAAAGCTTTGAGATGAGGAGATTATCCTGGAATAGTAAGTAGTCCCCAATTATAATCACAAGCATCCTTAAAGATAGAGGTGGAGGAAGATTAGATGTGCACACACAGAGAGAAGAAGGTGGGGACTGATGTGGCCACAACTCAAGGAATGCTGGCAGCCATTAGAGGCTTTTCAGCCAGGCAAAGAACTGGACCTCCCTTAGAGAATCAGGATGGAGTCTGGCCTTGCTGAGACCTTAAATTCAGCTCAGTAATACTGATTCCAACTTCTTGCCTCCTGAGGACTGTGAGAAAATTAATTTCTGCTGTTTTCAGCCATCCAGTGTGTGGTAATTAATTGTAGCAGCAACAGAAAATGAACACAATATCTATTAGTATTTCCATCTTCTGTATTTATTTTGTCTGCTCCTATCACATACACACAAGAATCCACAACTCACAAATGCAAAGACCTTTTCTGTTTTGTTCACTGCTCTATTTTCAATAACCCAAAAGATGTCTGACACACAACAGAATATTAATAAATATTTAGGTTGAATGTGATGGCTCACACCTGTAATCCCACCACTTTGAGATGCCAAGGTGGGAGGATCACTTGAGGCCAGGAGTTTAAGACCAGTCTGGACAATATAGTGAGACCCTGTCTCTTTTTAAAAAAATTATTCAGGCATGGTGGTGTACACCTGTAGTCCCAGCTATTGGGAGGCTGAGGTGAGAGGATCATTTGAGCCCAGGATGTTGAGGCTGCAGTGAACCATGATCACCCCATTGCATTCAGCCTGGATGACAGAGAAAGAACTTCTACGGATAAAAAAAGCAAACACATATGTTTTTTTAAAAAAATAAATGAATGTTTGTGTCAAAGACATGGAATGCTAATGGAGCTCAGAATGAGAATAAGCTGACACAAATGGGCCAGGTGTTCGAGGAAAGGCTTCCTGAAAAGGTGAATGAAAAATGTCCTCCAGGAAGCAGCGATCACCACTGCTAAATGTTGGTTGTCGAAATGACTCCTTTGTTCTCTTAATTTAGGCTGAGCTTCGTTTCCATAAATTGCTTTTATCTCCTGAACAAGGGCAATGGCCAATATGAATAATTTTCCGTGGATTTATTGTCACATGGTCACTGGCCACAGTTGTGCCTAAAAAAGCATGAATGGCAAAATGTTCCTTGTTCCTGCATGATCATCCTTTGTGAGGATGATAGTATAGCAGGTGACATCACATACAACGTGTAGGCCTGGGATACCTGCATTTAAATCCTGGTTCTGTCACTTCTAATAATAGTGAACATTTATTCAACACTTAACCATGTGTTGAGAATTGTGCTATGTACTTTTGGGCTGACTCCATGCCAGTTGTGTAAACTTGGACAAGTCATTTAACCTTGTGTCCTCATGACAACTCTGAAAAGAGAATACTTTTATCCCTATAGTATAGTTTCAGCACAGAAACGGAAGCATTGGAAGCTGAGGATACCTGCTCAAGGTCATATAATTAACAACTTTTGAAACTGAAATTCGCATCTCAGCTCATTTTGACTCCAAATTCCATTTATTTTCCAGTATAATCCATGCATCTCTCTCAGCTAACTTTGATCTGATCTTTTTTGAGCCTCAGTTGCTTTGTCTATAAAATGGAAATAATTTCACAGGATGGTTGATGAAGTAAGAAGTCAGTGGATAAAATGTAAAGTGTTCAACAAAGGAACCGATAACATTCTTAATAGAAAATGCAGTTGACCTTGGGATTTAACAATATAGCCAGGAAACTTCAGCTTTGGGGTCCTTACCTTTGTCTTTTCTGAGGTTGCTCTCTCCAATCTTTGCCTCTTCTCTCTTCACCCAGCTTTTCTGCTAGTCTGTTTTCTCATCCTGCTCTCTAGAACAATTTATCAGATATTTCTACTTTAATGTATGGTTGTCATCACTTTGCCCATGCTGAGGGATTTGACTTTTAAGCCCATCTCTTACTATTAAAATATATATATATTTATATATAATATATATTATATATATGTTTTAATATATAAAAATTATATATATTTATATTATATATAAAATATATTTTATATATAAAATATATATAAATAATATATAATCAATATAAATATATAAATATATATTTATATAAATATATATATACACACACACACATACATTTTCCCGAGAGGGATGTGAAGGGGTAGGTTCTGAGGTATCAGCAGGTGAACCAGTAGTTTACGAAGCATCAGATTTTTAGGATCCCCTAAAAACACATTGGCTTCGAATAAGGATCTTCTCAGTGAGCAAAGCAGCCTCCTAAAACCCTGGCTATGATCTTTCCAAGGAAGCTTTCTGGGGCCTCTGAAGTTGAGCATCAGCTTCTCCCCTGGTCAAATGCAAAGCATTTCAGATGATTTCAGACCACTTGTTTTTCTGCAGATAGGACCAGTCCACACTCTCGCCACTTGGCAAGCTGTGCAAACATGTGTGGGCTTGAGGCAGCTCAGTTTTGAGATAGCTCTTCATCTGCTCTCCTCCTCCTGTGCATACACAAGGCCAAGTTCTGAACTGGTGAATCCATATGACAAGTAGGCCTGTTGGGGAGATGCGGTGTCCCCCAAGCCGATCTTCCTGCACACATGACCCAGAAACACAGTTCTTTCTTTCCTCAGAGAAGTGGCTCTATGCCAGTTTCTCTAACAAAACCCTCAAGGGTGGGGCCTGCGTCGCACATCTTTTGCTTTCAGCAGATGTTCCACAGGAGTGGCTGCCAGGACACTTCTGTAGCAGGGAAGGTGTTAAAGCTTCAGGGCCGTCGGAATATGTCTATGCTGACAGATTGGGGGAAACATGCTCAAGCGCTTATGGTGATGAGCATGTAAAAATAGGGCACAGATGTCTAATTTAAAAGACAAGAAAATTTCTTAGCATTTACATCTTATTAGTCATTACTATGTTGTTCTTGTATTTTATTCACACATTTAACTTTGGGTGTTCCTCTGATTCGCACTGCCAACTGCAAGCTACCATCCCATAAACCAAAAAAAAAAAAAAAAAGTACTATACATTCCAAAAGATCATTAAAAGCAATGGAAATTTCCAGTGATCTTTGCTTGGCAACCTCATTTAGGTTTCCATGTAACTGTGTTCAAACTAAACTGTCCACACGTTGGGCCATATTGACCTGATTTGGTAACAAGGGAGGAGCTTGGATGCATGCAAAATGTGTCTATGAGGAGAAAAAATGAAAAGGCTGACTTTGGAAATTACCTCCAGAAGGCTTGAGAAATAACCTCTCTTTGTTTTAATGCTTTGGCTTTATGTTAATGTATATGATGACTTTAATAGTTTTACCCAATTCACATCCATAGTGTGTTGAAGAAAATCTGAGTGGAATTAAAAAGAAATAATAGTTCTACAGTTACATACACAGTTCCTATATTCATTAGCTTTTTATAAACCTTACAATTAGAAAAAGACACTGGCTCATGGGCTAAATGGAGGGGAAAGATTTAACTCAATAGATAGGAGGGCTTTGGAATTTTCAAAATTTTACAGCAGCTGGCTGTGCTCACATACAATCAGAAAACAAAAGCAGAGAAACCAAATATCAGATGAATAGTCTTCCCTTTCCAACACATCTTAGGGCCAGTTTTTCTGTAGCACAAAAGGAAGGATCCTGGTTCATGCTGATAAATATCTTAGAGCAAAAGAGAGAAAAATACCGAATGTTATCAACATCATCAAAGCATGTGCTAATTAAATGAGTAACACCACCTGGTGCTGTGAGAGGGGCTGCCCTTTTTCTTTTGGGCTCACAATACAAAGGCACACACACACACATAAACACAGTGGAGATGAACAACTGATTAGAGTTGTGAGTGACCAGTGGGGACATTACAACAAACTACCAAATTAAACAATTAATAGTTTAAGAGACTTTATAAATACTTAGCTAAATCTCAGCTACACTGCACATTGTCTCCATGGCATTGTGGAAATCAGAACATTCTTTAAGCTTCAGTTTCCTTACAGATAAAGTGGGGAATCATTTCGCCAACTCACTCAAGCGCTATAACGTGTAAAATGCTTGTCAGATTGCTAGCAAATTCTAAACACTCAACAAATAGTAGCTATTTTTTGTTGGTCTTTTTTTGATGCAATATCTTTAGAGACAATTTCAAGGATAATAAGTAAAGCAGAATCCTGTTTTTTAGCATGTGTATTTATCACAAATGTTTATATTAACTGCACATACCTGTCTACCTTTGCACAAGCACTTGACCTTTTCAGAAGCCAGTAATAGAACCAAATATGCCAGATTCAGGACAAACCAGAAATAACTATTGCTGTCATTTTAATGGGTAGTTTTGAGCACATGCTGCTCTCGAGTTTGTGTGTTATATGAGCCTCCTTTTCTTGCTTGTGGAAATGAAGTTTCTGTGAAGCAGTCCACGAAGAATGCTCAGTCTGTCATCTCAAATGTTCTCCACTTGTCTTTAGGAGGATGGACTGCAAAAGTTTTGTCTTCATATTGGAAAGTCTCATACCTAGAATCATACCTAGAATTCTTTTTTTTCTGGGACAGAGCCTCGCTATGTCGCCTAGGCTGGAGTGCAATGGCACAATCTCAGCTCATTGCAGCCTCCGCCTCCCAGGTTCAAATGATTCTCCTGCCTCAGCCTCCCAAGCAGCTGGGATTACAGGTGCCTGCCACCATGCCCAGCTAATTTTTGTATTTTTGGTAGAGGCGGGATGTCGCTATGTTGGCCAGGCTGGTCTCAAACTCCTAACCTCAGGTGATCCACCCACCTCGGCCTCTCAAAGCGTTGTGATTACAGGTGTGAGCCTCCAGACCAAGCCCATACCTAGAATTCTAATAAAATATTTCTCCAGCTAATTCTTTCCTCTAGTAACTTTCTTGGCATACCCTCTCAAAACTCAGGGAGGGTCCTTTTTCTCATTAATCCACGTTGTCAAAATATTTTTAATGAGTTAAGATAATGCATATGAAGGACACAACACAGTTCCTGATGCATGGGAAGCACTCAATAAGTGGTAGCTATACTTATTACCATTATTATTATTAGCCCATTTATAGAAAATCAATTTCTAGCACACTTTTTAAAGCGATCATTAAAATTAAAATCATGAATGCAATCACTATTTGTAGTACCTAATTTTATTATAATTATCTTTATCTTAATAATCCAAATATTACTAATAACTCACAGTTATTTCAATTATCATTTTATCTTTATCTTAATAATCCAAATATTACTAATAACTCACAGTTATTTCAATTATCATTAATTACTTCTAACTTTACAGCAATCTATAAAGTAAAGGCAGGGCCAGCCTTCAGCTAAACACTGAAGTAGACATATTTATGTTTGCTTCCTGTTCTCTACTCCTGCAGTATTCTTCTCCTCTTTATCTTGCGAAGACTTCTTCCTAAAAAGGTCTGGATAGGCGGGGCACAGTGGCTCACACCTGTAATCATAGCATTTTGGGAGGCCGAGGCAGGTGGATCACGTGAGGTCGGGAGTTCAAGACAAGCCTGACCAACATGCAGAAACCCCCGTCTCTACTAAAAATACAAAATTAGCTGAGCGTGGTGGCACATGCCTGTAATCCCAGCCACTCGGGAGGCTGAGGCAGGAGAATCACTTGACCCCAGGAGGTGGAGGTTTCAGTGAGCCGAAATCACGCCATTGCACTCCAGCCTGGACAACAAGAGCGAAACTACATCTCAAAAGAGAGAGAAAAAAAAAGTCTGGATAAATTAGTGCTCAGTACGGAGAACTGACTGATACAGGCTAAGGTGTGGTACTTCTGGCTTTCTCGGTCCTTCTCCTGTGTCATCCTCTTTCTGGCCTGGCTTTCAGTGGCTACCCACAAACCTCCAGTGGGTAACATGGGAACACTTTGTCCCTGTTTGTGAATGTTCCCAGAGTCACTGCCTCTGGAAGAGTCCTCTGAAAGGCCAGAACTAAGTTCAACAAAGTGGATTTCAAATGACAGACTCAATGCCAGTCATCCTAACTGAGGACATCTGGGGAGAGCAGGCATTTTGAAGAGGAAGTCCCAGTGTGAGAGAGATTTTTGTTTTGTTTTAGATTCGGAAACCCTGTAAGAAGGCATAATGCTGAGTGGCACCAATTCACCTAAAAGAAGGAATAATGAATCCCAAGTCACACTGAGAGTGGCTGCCTGCTTCTCTGACAGGAATAGCCTATTAGTAGTGGTGGCTTCTTATAGAGTGGCCTCGTCATTGTCATCAACACTTACAGAAAACACGTTCTGTGAGTCAGAGAAAAAAATTGGCCAAGTTGTCCCCAGTGACAGGGTTTCAATTACAGAAGCTTAACACAGGGTTACTTATCCTTCAGGGGTAAGTTTTTTTGTTTGTTTGTTTTTGTTTTTGTTTTTTTCTGCAAATGTCTTGAAATTTCCCTTTCCTCCTCCTCCTTTTTCTCCTCCTCCTTTTCTTTTTTTTCTCCTTTAAAAAAATGTAAAACACATCCTTAGCTCAAAAGCCACAGTTTTCCACCTCTTGCCAAGTAACTAGTAGAGTCATGGTAAGGAAGAACATTGTGGGCTATGGCATAATCTGAAAAGGCTTCTGGAGAGAAGAGGACAGAGATGTGGCCTCATTCATCCACCTCTCCATCTCCAAACCCTATAGATATGACAGTTATTAAGTTAGTGGGTTGTAGATGACATCAGTGTAGACAAACTCTACAACTAGGAAGTTAAAACCATATGAAATTTGAACTATACCCAGAGGTCTAACAAAGCTAGTTATCTACTGAGCAGGAAAGGGGAAGGGGCACCTTTCTCTCTGATTGAGCCCATTCTTTTTCACCATCCAGCTGAAAGGATAACACAGGCAAAATGACCTCTCTAAGAACGTTAGCAGACAACAGATAGCAATATGGTAACTAACAACCTGGAGGAGCTGTCAGAAAGGCAATGTGCCACTAGAGTTATGAACTCATTAATTAAATATCAGTGTATCAAATGGGCTATGAGCTATTAATTCGAAAGCTATTACTGGCTTTGAAGTTGAAATTATAAGCAAAGCAATTAAAAAGTAACTTCTCAATAAGAGTACAAAGAGAGCATCGTATCTGTTTACATACTTCAGCTCTTTAATTGGGGATTGAATTGCTCCCTTAAAAGTAATGATTATATAAATGATCAAACTACTATTTTATTGCAAAGCCTGGATGCTATAGTTAGAAAGAAAATCTGTAATCTTCCCTTTGCTGCAGTTGTACTATGCCATGAGTGATACTCTCTCTTTTCCACACGAGTAAACAGGGGTCACTGTGAAAAATATAAATCAGGGAGAAAGTTGAAACATTTAAGATCCTGATATTTGCTTTGGCTTACTTCCTTTTATTCACCATAACTGCAAGAGGGTCGACTGTGATCAGACGATAGATAGTAGTTTTGCAATTCAGATGTAGATTAGTGTAAAAATTTTTAAAAAAGATATTCTAACTCATGAATCTACAACATTTTTTTTTTTTTCCAAAACAGAGTCTTCTTGCTTTGTCACCCAGGCTGGAATGTAGTGGTGTGATCTAGGCACACCGCAGCCTCCGCCTCCTGGGCTGAGGGGATCCTCCCGCCTCAACCTCTGGAGTAGCTGAGACCACAGGCACACACCACCCGCCCGGCTATTTTTTTGTGTTTTTAACAGAGATGAGGTCTCGGACACATTGCCCAAGCTGGTCTCGAACTCCTGAGTTCAAGCAATTCACCCATCTCTGCCTCTCAAAGTGCTGGGATTGCAGGCATGAGCCACCATGTCGGGCCTAACATTGTTTTTCTCAACAAAGTATTATTTATTTATTTATTTATATTATTATTATTATTATACTTTACGTTTTAGGGTACATATGCACAATGTGCAGGTTAGTTATTTTTTAATCATATCCTAATAGTCAACTTGCAGCACTCGTCTCCTTTAAAGTATAATGAAATTCCCATTCACATGCTTCAATTTAGATCCTCCCTATCTTCTGTAGCTTTTCTTTTTTGTTATACTTGCGTAGCCCTTGTTCCTCTCCCCTTACACTTTTTCTTTATCATTCTTTCATTTGTTCTCTTTATTTTAAATACACATATACAAGCCAAGCAGTTACTGGAATCATGTGGAAGTCAGGTATCTCTCTACATTTCATCCTTACTAGAGAAAGATTAATTAGGAACAAACAATCTCAATGAAACAAGTAGTATTTGGGGCAGCGTTATCATTCTGGTTGTTTATGCCAAGACATCATTTTCCTCCTGTCATGCGTGCACCAACCACTACTGGTAGGGGTTTTATTAATGGACTAAAACTTAGTGGATTGGAAGCAGAAATGCCTATAGTTTATAAGGAGTGAGGAACTACTCTGAAAGAGTAGCTAGAGACTTTGTATCTATTTAGTTGTGGTTTGCAGAAACTTCTATCATTTTTTTTCTCAGTGAATTCTAAAAGGTTCATTTATTTCTCTGAAGTGTGACCTTTCTTTTCTGCAACAAAACAAAAATATTGGTGGGCAGTCCAAAGCTGGCACCGAGGTGACTTCAACCCAGAAGATCCATTCATTCAATAGCTATTTGTTGAGCACCTTGTTTTTTCAGGCACTGTTCCAGGAACTTGAGATACAATGTTGAACTGAACAGACAAATAACCCTGCCTTCAGGGAGCTTACATTCTAGTATTAACAATATTTTAATTAAATGTCAATATTGCCATGTAACAACAGCATTCTCAGCACACAGTGGGCTAGAAAAACTTTCTTTTCATCACTTAGAAACCTTAAAGTACTCACCGTTAATCTCAGGCATTGTTAGGGACTGAACGTTTGTGTTCTGCCAAAATTCCTGAGACAGCCTAATCTTCAGTGCCATGGTATTAGGAGGCAGCGCTTCCCAAAGGAAGTGATTAGGACATAAGGGTGGACCCCTCATGAATGGAATTAATGACCTTTTAAGAAGAGACACAAAGGATTCCTTTCTCTCCTCTCCACCACATGAGGAAGGACATGGCAAGAAAATGGCCTTCCTATACAGAAGAGGGCCCTCACCAAAGACGGACCAGGCTGGCACACTGATCTTGGACTACCCAGCCACCAGAACTATCAGAAATAAATTTCTGTTGTTTAAACTACCCAGTTGATAGTATTTTGTTCTGGCAGCCTGAACTGACTAAGACAGGCGTCAAAGGAAAGTAATGGAATCAGGAGGGTTTCAGAACTTATGTCCCCCGCAGAGCAGCTCTGGGAAGCAGGATATTGCAGTGTCCACTTTGGTACCGAGAAACAGGGGCTCCAGTCCTAACCTTTTCATTTAAAAGATATACGTTATTAAAAATCAAACCCTCCCTGAGATTCACTTTTATCATTTGCTTAATGAAGCCCCTACTCAAAGGCTCTGTAAGGATATATGAGGATAACATATGTAAAACGCTTAACACGGTGTGTTCGCCTCAGCAAGCAAGGGTGAGTATCCCCAGGAGGCTTGCGTTTGTTTTGACAGCCAGAAGCCTGCTGAAGAAATGCTGGCAGTCTCCCTTTCATCCAGGTGCAAGGAGAACTAAGCGTGAGGACATGGTGAGGGAGAGAGCCCGTCTGATGTCTTCCCTTGGGCTCAAGAAGACACATGGGTAGTTAGCGTCTCCTGGGCCAGATGCAGAAGTTTTGTAAGTTTTATGAGAGTGTTGAGTTCTGCAATAATATCTCACATTTTTCGCCACAGCTCTTCTGGAAATAATTTATACTGTTTATCAAAAACAGAGCCAAGACCATCAGATTAGCAAAATCCAGGATTCCTATTTATCTTGTTGTTAATGAATGATGGAACAGAAGATACAGCCACAATTATCCTGTCATAGCAGATTTGCCTCATTTCTGCCATGTGCTAGATTTTTGATCATTGAAACAAAAGGAGAAAATAAGTAGCTGCATTCTTCATAAGTTTTCCTGGTGCATCAATATTCTTTCCCAACTATACTCTGATTCTTTTAATTAGGGGCAAACAAATCACAATCACAAAGGTATTAATGCTCATAAAGCTTAAAATCTCTTGAATCTCAAAAGAAATACTTGCTGTAATTAAAAAATGAAAATCTATCATTTAAAAACAGTTTGACATGGCATATTTGTATTTTGAATTATAATAGTTAGGACTCTGATATTTATTTGTGGTTTACCAGCTGAAAAGACACAAGGGAAGGCACATCTCCATTCTCACTCCAAATTTATTATTTTGCAGCAAGAAGTGATTGTAAGAGAGAAAGTATCTGAGAGAACAAATGTGAATATATGGGTTTCAGGGAGGGAGGTGGCAAAATCACATGAAATATGAGAACGTTCATATCCTCATCCATAAAATGAATATGTTCTAACTCTATAGTTTATCTCTTCCCCTGGAAAATTGTATTGTTCAATGAATCTACAAGTGTAAGATGTAATTCAACCATGGCAGCAAGTAGAGGTCATCTCCTCTAGGTCTAACATAATTAATGAAGGCAAATGGGCAGTCCAGAAGGGATTTAAGAAATTAATTTAATAAGTCTTTGTGAGGATATTTTACACGGTTGGCTCTGTGCTAAGTGCTGTGGGAAATGCGGGAGCTCGATAATACAAGGTCACTTGCTCCAATAAGGCACATATCCAGGGCAAACACAAAGATGATAGGCTTATTAAAATACTAATAAACTTTAAAAATCTTTATTAGGCCGGGCGCGGTGGCTCACGCCTGTAATCCCAGCACTTTGGGAGGCCGAGGCGGGTGGATCATGAGGTCAGGAGATCGAGACCATCCTGGCTAACAAGGTGAAACCCCGTCTCTACTAAAAATACAAAAAATTAGCCGGGCGCGGTGGCAGGCGCCTGTATTTCCAGCTACTCGGGAGGCTGAGGCAGGAGAATGGCGTGAACCCGGGAAGCGGAGCTTGCAGTGAGCCGAGATTGCGCCACTGCAGTCCGCAGTCCGGCCTGGGCGACAGAGCGAGACTCCGTCTCAAAAAAAAAAAAAAAAAAAAAAAAAAAATCTTTATTAAAATGTTCTACAATTGAGCCAAGATAGAATACTTATAATCTATGGATTCCATCATCTTCCTTTTTTTGGGGGCTCAAGTTCTGTGTCACATTTACACTCCAATAAGCTTAATATTTTTTAAAGATTTGTACCATTGCTTTAGTATATCATGATATTCTCTTGCATTTTGCAGCTACTATACAACTTTAGGTAATCTGATTATGTGATAGTATGAAGACCAAAGATAATGACTAGGCAAATACCATCAGAACCACTTCCGGACCAAAATGTGCTTTTCAATACATATATCTTTGTTAGAATAATCCAATCATATATAACATTATATAACACTATGAAAAAAAAATCTACTTCTATTGACAACAGGCTGGGGCACTGCCTTCTGCTGGGCCCTGTGCTTAGCATTTGTAACTGTTGGGAAAACAGAATTAATTCTATATTCCAAGGAAGAAAGAGTTTTGTATTTGTTTATATGAAAATATATTTTAACTCATCTTGTTGCTTTTTAAACACTGGTAGAAGTAGACAGAATAGCAAAATAAACCCCCATATATGCAGCCTTAACAGTGGTCAACTCATGACCAATTTTTTTTCCCACATGTATATCATGGGGATACATCATCCACATGTATATCAGTATTAATGGATGGAAATAATCTTAATACATTGCTCTAGAAGTTACAGAAAAGTTGGAAGAGATGAGTGAGTGAAGGTCAGAGAAGCTACTGTAAGACTTCACAACATCTGAAAGCCCAGGCAGCCACAGGTCAATTCCTGGAAGATGCTCTCAGTTGCCTGTAGCAGGGGGCATGGAATTTGAAGGAGCTTGTCCAGGGAGGCAGTGGTTATTGATCTCTATTGGATGCAGGAGTAAAGTGAGTGGTTTGATGGAGCTGACCAGAATGGGACCCTGTATCTTGCATCTGTCTTTTGTTTACAACTTTGCCTGCAGCTGCCTTTACTTCTGCACTGAAATCTCAGATCATTGTTTCTCATTGGCAGACTCTCACTTATTTATTTACCTTTTTTTTTTTTTAATTTTAGCCTACAGCACCTGGTATTCCCAGGTACTCTCCCATACAAAAACTAACCAGACCCAACCTGCTTAGCTTCCAAGATCAGAGGAGATCAAGTGTGTTCAGGGTGGCATAGCTGTGGACCAGAATCTCATACAAAAGCATACTGGAAAAAGATATGGGGAAATGTAGCCCAAGCTTCTCCACTGTGATGCAATGGAAAATAAAGATAAGTGTGGATATGAGGCTGAGCTGCTGACAGTCTAGCACAGCATCATACATATATTACTCTATTTAAAATGTTCAACAACCTTAATAAACATTTAATCTTCATTTTAAAATAAATGATTAATCTCATTTTTACAGAAGAGTAAATTTGTGCATAAAAGGTTAAGTAACTCATCCAAGGTTACACAGTTGGCAGAACCATGATGTAACCCTATGTTATGCATAAAATCCGAAGTCCTTAATCCTATTCACCACAAATACTACTTCCCAACATTATGTCAATAAGAATATCTTCAAATACCCATTCTATGATTTATTTTACTCTACCTAATGCATTTCATTGATCTGCCAGGTTAGTTAACTTATTAACATAGGAAATTAGGATAAATCAATGACTTTTTTTTCTTTTTTTGAGGCAGAGTCTTGCTCTGTCGCTCAGGCAGGAGTGCAGTGCAGTGGCTCGATCTCAGCTCACTGCAAGCTCCGCCTCCCAGGTTCATGCGATTCTCCTGCCTCAGCCTCCTGAGTAGCTGGGACTACAGGTGCCCACCACCATGACCGGCTAATTTTTTTTTTTAATTTTTAGTAGAGACAGGGTTTCGCCATGTTAGCCAGGATGGTCTCAATCTCCTGACCTCATGATTCGCCCGCCTCAGTCTCCCAAAGTGCTGGGATTACAGGAGTGAGCTACCACCCCTGGCCTTTTTTTGTTTTTCTTGAGACAGAGTTTTGCTCTTGTTACCCAGCCTGGAGTGCAATGGCATGATCCCCACTCACTGCAACCTCTGTCTCCCAGGTTCAAGTGATTCTCCTGCCTCAGTCTCCCAAGTAGCTGGGATTACAGGCACCTGCCACCACACCCGGCTAATTTTTTTTTTTTTTAATTTTTAGTAGAGATGGGGTTTCACCATGTTGGCCAGGCTGGTCATGAACCCCTGACCTCAGGTGATCCACCCTCCTCGGCCTCCCAAAATGCTGGGATTATAGGTGTGAGCCACCATGCCCAGCCAATATGGCTTATTCTTAATAAAAGCATATGGTACTTCCCTTTCTAATCACTGAAACATTTTCTTTTTAATATCTGAGTCTAGATTCTAGCTCAGTATCCATGCCATGGTCATCTTTCAAAATTTAATTTATCCTTATGTCTGAAGTATGAACTGAGACTTCCAGTTAAATGTGAAGATTTGAACTCATTCGATTAATTTTAGTGACTCCTAAATCCTCAGTGACAAAGCAAAAGGAAAATTAGGGGACAGCAACAACAAAATGACATGGTAGAGAATAGATGAGCAAGTGTTAACTCACTTAACAGACTCAGAGGATAAATACATAAGCTAGTAATGAGACTAACAAGAATCATGAAAATGTGAATATATAGTAGGAAACCCAGAAAGAAAAACACACATTAGAGGTTCAATACTTTCTAAAAATGAGTTCCAAGTGAGGCTACACAAAATGGACTGAAAGTCTATAGGAGAAGTTAGAGTCTCTAAGATACGCTCCTATCTCATTGACTAAGTCAAACTGGGAGTTGCCCCTCTCCTTTAATGACATGTAACTGAATTTTGAACATCAGGCCAGCTCAGGGCAGGGGTGCTATGTTGAAAAGGTGCGATAATCAAAACCTTACAGAATGAGTTTGAAACCTCAAACTTCCTTACCCAACTTTCTTCTCCTTTATCCCTGGCAGCAAGGTTTTTATTCTTAGTTAGATAGGATGTCCAGTTTCTGAAAAATTAAAAACTAACTTAGGAAGTGAATAGAATTACACATAGTAATGGCTGTGGGTTCTCAAAAGAAGTAATCCAACCACCTCACCTTACAATGACCTCACGAACATGAAAAAAGAAAACCACTCATGCATACAGACTTCCTCGGGGTTTCACTATAAATATGAAAGGAGAGACAAGAATCAATGGAAGGGGGAGAATAAATTAACAGAGAAAAGGATATATAAGAATATATGAGAAAAGACAATGCAGAGAGATAAAAACCTAAGACAAAACAAAAACAAATAAAAACAAGCCACAAACATCTTTACTTTGTCCTATCTTCACAGCAATAAAATAAGGTATTCAATGCACGAACAAGAACAGAATGCCATGAAAAGGAATGTCTGGAGAACCACAAAAAAACTCTTGAAGATTAAATTTACTGGAAAAGATGCAAGTTAAATTTAGGAAATCTCCCAGAAAGAAAACAGAAAAAGACAAAGATGGAAAATAGAGAAAATAACATGAAACTAAGCAAAAAGATCATCAAAGGGTTAGCCACTTTGTTCAACAAGCAAATCATATAAATTCCATAAAAGGTGAACCAAGAAATTAAAGGTAAGAAAAAGAAAGGCAGCACCTGACAGTGAAAGCCAGCTGGGCATTCTCAGCTGGGCCTCAGTGTTGCTGGAAACTGACCTAACACTCAGTGCTGTGTAGGCCTCTTGTTCTCCTGTCCAACACACACAGTTTCACAGAAAATTAATATCAGACAAGGGCACTCTGTGTCCATGATGGAACAAGGCAAAATAAGGTACTCCATAATCCTGATGAGCACAGACAGAAACAAGAACATTGTCTAAACCACAAAAGTAACCAAATAGCCCTTTCCTAACCAATAGGAGTAAGTGCTGCTTTTTTAACCAATCAGAACGTTAGCAAGGCTTCATTTCTCCCGCCTTCTAGAAAGGAATGATTAAGATGGCCCCATATAATCGCCCCTACTTCCTGACAGCATCCAACTGAGAACAGAACCCAATTCCTTCAACCTTTCCCAAACTCACTTACCAAAAGACCAAACCCTATAATTAATCCTTTAGTGAACCTTATTTCTGAAATGGGCCATGGTTTATCACAGACATTGTCAAAAATGTTATTAAATATCTTTCTCAGGAAAATACTACAAAGCAAAACAAAATGATGGATAATTAAGACAGATGGACATATGGAAAAGGAAATTCATCCCAAAAGATAGGGTCATAAAATCCAAAGATGATGGTGAAGGCAGATCTCAGGACAAGAGCTGGACAGCAAATCTAAAGAACAACTCGTCAGACTGGAGCAGGAAGATGGAAAACTTCTCTGAGATAAACTAATTCGTTAAATTTAACAAATCTAAATTGAGAAATTCCTTGGTGTGTTTAAATATGCCAAGAGGAAATACATATTGTTGCCTGAAATCTTGAGGATGAATTAATGGTAAGTATAATAAAAAAGGTAAGTTAAAAGATAAAGGAATTATTAACTCTAAGAGAGACAAAAAAGTCATAAAAATGTATAAGCATACTATACTACATGGTTCAGCCACAAATACTATTTCATAGGCAAATAATAAAAATGCTAAAATTAATTTAACCCAAACCTGTGATACAATCATATTTTAGGATGGAAAAATGAGAAGCCTGTGTGTAGAGTAATGTATGAGGGATACTTATTTATTTTCAATGGTATAAATGCAATGAAAGTTTCTTTAAAAATAAATAGTAACAATATATGCATGTCACTTAGAATTATGGAGTTGATTGACTGGTAAAACCACAGGTTTAGAAAACCATGTATATGAATAACTATTATGAAAATAAAAATTAAACTAAAACAGAATAACAATGACAAAATTGCTGATGGAACATTACTGTGAGGGAGGCTCGAGGAGCAAAGCAGAAAATTGTGGCAGATGAGGCAAGAGAGATAGTGAGGGCCTGCACCCTGCCAGGCCTTCCAGTTCTGCTAAGAAGCTCAGCCACCAGGTTGTTTGCAATGGGAAGCCACTGCAGGTTTTTAGCTGAGAAGCAATTATCTCCAAATTCTATTTTACATAGATCCTTGGCCTGCAGCATGAAAATCATTTCCAGGAGAGCCAAAACAAGGAGCAGAATGAAGGTCGGAGGCTCTTGTGCTAGTTCAGGTGGTTAATGATGGTTTTGGGAATAGGGGGGTTGGTGACACGGGAGAGTTAGTAGTATTTAAGACACATTTAGGAGGGAAAATCAGCAGTATGTAGTGATAATCACTACGAATGGGCAAGCGTAACTGAGATGTTTCTAGCTTGCATAACTGAAAAAATGTTTGTGAATACAGAAAAATACACGCTTCCACCATAAAAAAAGATCATTAGAAGTTGTTTTTTGTGTTGTTTTTGTTTTCGTTTTGAGACAGAGTCTTGCTCTGTCACCCAGGCTGGAGTGCAATGGTGCAATCTTGGCTCACTGCAACCTCCACCTCCCGGGTTAAAGAGATTCTCCTGTGTCAGCCTTCTGAGTAGCTGGGATTATAGGCACCTGCCACCATGCACAGCTAATTTTTTTATTTTTAGTAGAGATGGAGTTTCACCATGTTGGCCAGGCTGGCCTTGAACTCCTGACCTCAGGTGACCCGCCCACATGGGCCTCCCAAAGTGCTGAGATTACAGGTGCAAGCCACCGTGCCCAGCCAGAAGTTTAGTTTTGTACCTATTGAATTTGAGATGAATTTGAATGCAGCTGCCAAGCAAGCAGCTTCAAGGAGAAAACTGAGCTGCAAACCTCACTTTAAGAGGCAGATCAATATTGATATTGGGATATATAAAAGTTGACATGTCAAGCTTGATGTGAAACGTTGGTTATGAGAGAAAATATAAAATAGAAAGAAGGCTAGGACAGGGCAATGCTTGAGAAATACAAACTTTTTAATTAATTAATTAATTAATTAATTACTTTTTTTGAGACAGAGTCTTGCTCTGTTGCCCAGGCTGGAGTGCAGTGGCGTGATCTCAGCTCACTACAACCTTCGCCTCCCAGGTTCAAGCGATTCTCCTGCCTCAGCCTCTCAAGTAGCTGGGACTACAGGTGCCCACCATCACACCCGGCTAATTTTTGTATTTTTAGTAGAGATGGGGTTTCACCATATTGGCCAGGCTGGTCTCGAACTCCTGACCTTGTGATCTGCCTGCCTTGGCCTCCCAAAGTGCTGGGATTATAGGTGTGAGCCACGGCACCCGGCCCTAGAAATACAAACATTTTAAGGTTTGTTAGAGAGGCAAGAATTCGCATAGAAGAGTGTGGAGAAAGCAAGGGACAATTTAAAATGCTGCAGCAAGAGGAAGTAAGGTGAGAACAGGAAGATGTCCTTAAGATTCATGTTTGTAAGTGCAACAGTGCCAATGCAGTGATAGGAGGAGAAGCCAGACCAGAGCATACTAAGAAGTAAATCGAGGATAACTATAATCAATAATAATAGAATTGTACATTTAAAAATAATTAAAAGAGTATAACTGAATTCAGGGAATGGATACCCCATTTTACATGATGTGATTAGTATGCATTGCATGCCTGTATCAAAAATCTCACATGCTCCATAGTATACACATCAACTATGTACCCACAAAAATTAATATAAAAAATTAAATTTTTTTTTAAAAAATAGGTAAGTCCAATGTCAGGAAATACAGACAACTCTTAAAAGTGAGGCTACTAAATAGGAGATAAAAGAGAAGTCACACGTCATTCCCAAGTAGCAGTTTCCCTTTCTAGGCCATCTTCCTTTCCTAGACAAAGCAACTACATCCTTTGCTTAGGTTAAGTGGAGCTTACCACTGTTCGTAGCTCTCAGTTCCTTGGGTGTTTTTAATATCCCTGTCATCCTTCCTACCATATTATATTTGTTTTTGCTGTGTGTTGCTCTCACTTCCTTTCTCATGCCCCTTTCAGATCTGAGTCAGTCTATGAGCTCTTTGGCATCTTTTTAGAAACCCTAGGGCATGTCTATCAGTGTTGCTCATTAGAATCATTTACCACTATGATCTCAAACTTCATTGCTGATATCTACCCTGCAAGATGGAATCACCTCTTCATTTAAAAACTCATTCTTGGCCAGGAGCAGTGGCTCACCTCTAATCCCAGCACTTTGGGAGGTAGGGGTAGGTGGATCACTTGAGACCAGCCTGGGCAACATGGGGAAACCCCATCTCTACTAAAAATACAAAAACAATTATCTGGGTGCGGTGGCACAAGCCTGTGGTCCAGTTACTCAGGAGGCTAAGGTGAGATTACTTGAGCCTGAGAGGCAGAAGTTGCGAGGTTGCAGTGAGCCGAGATCACACTACTGCATTCCAGTCTGGGCGACAGAGTGAGACCCGGTTAAAAAACAAAAGAAAACAAAACAAAAAAACTCATATTCTGAAATCTAGCATACTTTTTCTCTGAATTTTCAACATCTAAATGCCTCAGGTCCATGTCCTGTTTATTCACCTATCATAAATTTTGGGCATGATGGTCTCTGTTTTCTAAGATACCTTGGCTTCCAATACATAAACCACTTCTTTTTTGTCAGACAGAGACAGAACCTTGTTTAAGGCTCTCCTTTTGGGATATTAATTTTTCAGTAAAGCAAATCTATAGTTTATTAGATGTTTTGCATTTAGCTGTGTAAAACTTTTAGGGCATATACAGTAACTTGAAACCTCTATCACTACATTCTCCCTCTGTACCACACTTGAGGCCTGGTATTGAAATACATAATTTCCTCCACTGAGTTGAGTGGCTTGGAGTATACACATATGTTCATCCACTCGACAAATATTTATTTAGTGCCTACTGTGTGCCAAAATAATATGGCTTGTTTTCCTTTCTCCTATCTTCTGTTTTTATAATATATTTCAAACAAATTCTCTAAATTGAAGGCTGGAATATTTGAAAGGATAAACAAATCAAATAAACAACTCAATAAACAAAGGATAAACAAATATTTGAAAGGATAAACAAATAAACAAATCAATATATTAAAATGCTCTGCTCTAGCTCAATTCAAACCCAGAAATGATTTTAAAATGCTGATCCTGTGGCCAACCCAATTTTAATGCCATGGAGGTTCGTAAGAAATATATTTTAAAACAGCTACCATATCCTCATGTTTACCATGCTCTAAGCAGTGTTGCAGGCATTTGTACATATGCACGTATGTAATCCCCACAACAACCTTAGGATATGTTTTTCTTTTTTTAACACATGGGAAAACTAAGATTAAAAAAATCAAGTAAGTTTGCCGATATCACACAGTAATTGGTGAACCTGGCTTACAATTCAGATCTGTCAGACTGCAAAGCGCCCTTGAGGAATTTATAGTGTAGTTTTGGGGCATAGAGACCCCTGTGGAGAAGTCATTGAGAAAATAACAGAACAAAAACCACAACAAAAACAACAACCAAACAGCTTCCTGCAGGAATGACACTAGCTTCTCCATCCATCCAGTTCATTTGAGGCTCACATTTTGGGGTTCACACTCTGGTCCTGGCCCTCCACTGACACTTACTCTCACTGAATTGCATCATCAGAATGTAGTGCTGCAATCTCAGCTCACTGCATCCTCCACCTCCAAGGTTCAAGTGATTCTCCTGCCTCAGCCTCCTGAGTAGCTGGGACTACAGGCACCCACCACCACGCCCGGCTAATTTTTGTATTTTTAGTAGAGATGGGGTTTCACCATGGTGGCCAGGCTGGTCTCAAACTCCTGACCTCAGGCAATCCGCCTGCCTCAGCCTCCCAAAGTGCTGGGATTAAAGGTGTGAACCACCATGCCCGGCCTATATGATGATGTTTAAGGTCACTTGGTACCCACCCATACTTGGGAACAAACAAAATGAACCTCCTTGACCAGGAAGGAACCCTGATAGCTTTCAGAAGCTAAATTCCTTCCACTACGATCTTCAAGTCAAATTTCAAGTATAAGTTGGATTTTACTGGCTCTTCTAGATGATTTTTTTGGGGGTAGGAATTAGCTGACACAGAGAACAGATAACGATACTAGGGAGCTGTAGGGTGAAATGTGAAGCTTTGTAAGAAGAGTAAACCAGGGATTGACTGTTGTCCTTGAGTTTTTTTGGCCTTCCTCTGTCCGGGGGTGTCAGAGGTTTGAAGCATTTGAGTTAAATGACCGAGATTGACGTTCTGTCAAATAGGCAAACCAGAGAGTTTTCTAAAAAATACTATATTTGGGTGAAATCTTGATGAAACAGGTAGAAAATATGCTGTTAGGGAAGTACAGAGTCAGACCACCGAAACCCCTAACTCCGGTGAATTAGTGGTTATTATATGTGGAGGGAAACATAAACTTTGTTAATACTTTCCCCATCCACTGTGAAATATTAAAACTCAGCTGTGATGTAGCATTTAACTGCACATCGAATCAAGAGTCCAGTAATAGAAATTGCCTTTTTGCAGTAGAAAACAGGGTTAGAAGCAAACCAAAATAACACATAAAACAGATCTCCATGGAGAAAATTGAAGGCTGTTTCTAGCATGTAAAGATCGAGGATGCAATTCTTGTTCTGTGAAAAGCTTTTTTCCTGGGGTTTTGAATTTTCCTCTTGATTATGTGTGGAATCAAGGGGTGTCTGTGTGATTGCACCCATGCCTGCCTCTGAGGAACAGAAATGGGGCAGACACAGACAGATGGTGACAGGCTCATTTTTAAGCCCAACCAGCAGGGAGAGAAGTCAAGAACGGAAGGCAGATCATACAGTTGGCACTAAATTTTCATTTCCAAATTCTACATCCTCAACTGGCTGAAACTAAGTTTACTTTACTGCTAAATGATAAATTCAGTAAAATAAATTGTAAAAATGAGTCCTTTTATTGAACTAACTAGCTAATTTTAAAATTTTTAAAAAATCATTCATACTCAGTGTTAACAAGGGTACAGGAAAATGAATGTTCTCTTGCACTGTACTTGATTTGCAAATTGGAACTGTCTCTCTAGAAAACAATTTTATATACAAATCAGTATTTATAATGGAGAAGAATGGCAATCTACTTTCTCAAAAGTAGAAGACTTCCATATCCATTACAGCACATCAATACAAATTAGGTTTTCAACTAATTTTAAAGACAGACGAAACTGATCATGATACCATGTTTTGCAAACCAAATGAGATACAAATCAAATATCCAGTATCATTCTCATAGATGGATATAGAGTGAGTTTTTTTTTCCGAAAATGCCTGACACACTCAAAGTGTTATCAATTATAATCTCTTAGAGTACTAAGCAAGGAGTTATTTTATTTTTACTACTGCAGCACATTTTTTAAAATTTTACTTTATAATATGTATTATTTTAGTGAAATGTGTTTAAAAACAATATATTTTCTCCTTTTTAAGTACAAATCCTTTTGCATCTGCCAATGCATTTTTCAAAGTACATCCCTATGTTATCATAGAAAAAGAATTCTCCTCAGATAGGAGAAACACGTCTATATTGGTTTTGTAGAGTCTGGGCTTATAATCCCTTTCTTCTACTGTGTGATATGACCAGAGGTGGATGTCAGAATCAGGATCACAGCCTATAAAAAGTACAAACACATATTGCTCCATCTCTCAATTACTTCAACTCTCCACAAGACAAGGTCCACAAGAGAATAATGGCCAGATATTCAAGGAGTGCCCTCCATGGATATACTCTCTAAAACACAGATGTCTGCAAATGGATGTCCAAAGAGAAAACAGAAAAGAATCATGATACTCAACTTGCATAAAGTGAATCTTTGATGACTCTGATCAGAGACTCTGACTACTATATTCTATTACCTTCTCAGGTCATTGAAAGCCTACTATAATTTTCTGAAGGCGTCTTACTCCCTTCCTTCTTGAATCAATACATTCCCCTCAAAGACTCAAATCAACTAAAGTTTTATAATACTTCTGCTTGTATTTTCACTCAATTTTGTCAGTTTCTGCATATACATTCATATGACTTTATACAATTAGTTTGCTTTTCTACAGACACTTTTCTATGTGCACATTCTCCCTCCCTTTTTTTCTTTTTCTGTTTCAATTCATTTAATCAGCAAAACAATCTTGTAAGGCAACTAATATTATTAGCTCTCGTGTGCCTAGGAGAAACATGGGGTAGAAGGAGACTAATTTTCCCAGGGATGAATAACTAATCTGTAGTGAAGTTAGAGCTCAAATTCAGGCACTTTAGTGCCTAAGATTTTTCCTTTACCCCATTACTGTATACTGGCTGTACCTGATATCTCTGTGCAGATGTTTTTTCCTTACTTGGTTCAAATGTATGACAATTTATCAGGCCTCAGAAAAAAGTCTGATCACAACCCAATATGAAATATGCCTTCCCAGGTTAGCAAAAATGATTTAAAATCTAGAGTAATGATCCTCAAAATACTTGCAGATCAACTTTTAGTTTCGCCTGTAATAATATGAAAACTAGACTAGACTTTTGTAATCCCCATCTCCCTGCAGATCTACTGAATCATAATCTCTGGAGATTGAGATATATATCTCCATCTCCATCTCCAGAGCTTCTATATATATATATATATATATAGTCCACAATAAAATATACTATATATAGCATATTTTATTATATATCTTTTGTATATAATATTTTTATTATATATATGTGTGTGTGTGTGTGTGTGTGTGTGTGTGTTCTACAATTGATTCTCATGCAGACTGAAGTTTGCCACCCATTAATCAAAGGAGTTGAGGGCATTTCCTTCTGGACCACTTGGATGGGCATAAACAAATAAAATAAGACTGTATAATCAAGGGACAAACAGATTCTTGGTTTAAGATTTCATCCAGCAAGTGTTTAATATCAGGCCATCTTCGCCTAAGGTTTTGAGCACTTTCCTAATATTGACATGCATTACTTTAGGACAATTTAAGTACACAGGTATGCACTTTTTTGGCTGGATGTATGAAGAGATGGATGCAATTTTTCATATTTATCTTTGGAGGAAAATATATATAGCATCAAATCTGGAAAACATTAACCATGTTTTTCATCATGCTTATTCTTTTTTGTCAGAAAAAGAACATACATATATATGATGTTACTGATACTTCCCTTTCCATTGTTTCCTGAATAAATCAATAGGCATTATTCTGCACACTTATGGTATTGTGGTATCAATTTTGTGGTGTGGTGTGGTGGATTTGGGGGCCTTTTGCATTGCCATGGTATTGACAGTGAAGTCTACTGAAGCAGTCATTTCTTCTAGTCGTTTTTAGGGTAGTTGAGAATATTCTGTGAAGCCTGATTAGAACAACTGCAAATGCAGTTTTGTCAACAAGTAAAATAAGACACCAAAAGACAGTCATAGACTGTGAAAAGAGTGCAGTCCTTATGTTTGACATGTTTGAGCTATTCGAATCTTGATCCATCACTTCAACTACTTTGACCCCTGTTTCTTCATAGTTAATAGAGTTGGTTTCTATCTAAGTTTTCTAATAGGGCCCTTCTATGTTTGAGGACTGTTGAGTTCATCTTGGCTACTGTCACTATAAATCTGAAGTTTATTTCATTGTAGAAACCTTATTGGTCAGTAGTTAGATCAAGAGACTGTAGATTTAGAAGTTTAGAAATATTATCAATATGAATACTTTGACTCGTTTAAGATGACGCCTGTGGGAATGTTTTCTAATCAGCTAAGTAAAAATTATTTGGCCTGTGTAAGGCTGCTTTCTTTAGTCAAGACAATGAGGAATGGTTTCATCACTTTCCCGAGAAAAGAAGGCTTTTGCATGAAAAAAAATTATGACATACTCACACAGAAATTGTTCATGGGGCACAATTTTCAAATAAAACGCTTATTATATTGATAGACATTGAAATCGCTGCTTGTTGAGCAGGGACATAAATATCCATTCTGCCCAAAACAAATTTAGCAAAATCAAAATATATAACACTAAGAACATTTCAGCTTTTCTCTAACACATGGAGCCAGCCTTACGTGCCAACCCGATTCTATCACCTCTCCTCATTAAGCTCGAAAGCATATTTTGTGTTGCTTTGAGCAGCTCCTAAAATTTCTTTGTCTCTTCGCACAGCACCATAAAAGTTCCCACCTGACAGATCATAAATCGTTCTCACAAAGCACTCTGTCCCCTGGTGTACACTGGCTACATCCTATTCTCCAGATACATTACTAACAGCATTTATGCACTTTTGCACAAAACTTAGTTTCAAGATCTGGAAAATGCTTGACCCTATCCTATCAATTCATAGCAGGGAATGGCCCACTTTTGACAGAGCATTTATTCACACTGAGAGTGAAAGGAGAGAAGGTTTTCTCTGTGATGAAACATATTCAGAACGATAAAAGTTGGGTTATCTGAAGTCAAGGATACCTAGGCACGCAAATATGACCTGGTTATTAGGACTTTCTCACACACTCTAGGACCCATATTGGTGGTATCTTTAACCCTGTCTCTAGATGACATTTAGGCTATGTAATTTGTATGTCACTCTAGTATTTGTACCTTCATTCCACAAGCACTTTTTTGAGAACCTACTAGATTCTGGACACTTTGCCAAGTGCTGTCTCGAATAGGGACATAGGCCCACCACAGCTGCACACAGATTTGTGAGTGGTGCCTGCAGCTAGGCAGGTATATTCAGTGAAGTGTAATAGAGGTGTTATGGAGCAAGGAGAAACTTACCTTGTGGGAGAGAAATAGGAGTCAGGAAGGCTTTTACAGAGAACGTGAAATGTAAGCAGAAATTTGAGATCTGAATGGAAGTTTCTTAGCTGGTTTTTGGAAAGCAGATAATATATAAAATGTGCACAACTGGAAAAGTGTATTAAGTGGCAAGCAGTATATACAGATAGTGTGTGTGTGTATATATATATATATATACACACACACACTATGGTGTAGTATATAAGATGGCAAGCAGTATACATATACTATAGTATATAAGGTGGCAAGCAGTACCTATATATAGATATATACACTTACATATATATGCACACATATATATACACACACACACATATATATATATATATATAGTATATAAGAATGTCAAGCAGTTCTAAATGAGTGTAATCCATGTTCTACATGGTAAAGAGGAGGTGAGGCAAGAGAGGTTCATATAGTCATAGCCCAGAAGGCTGTGGATGTTAGTACAGGAGCCTCCCCTTTATCAGCAGTTTTGCTTTCTGTGATTTCAGTTTCCTGTGTTCAACTGTGGCCAAAAATATTAAATAGACAATTCCAGAAATAAACAATTGATACATTTTAAATCACATGCTTTTCTGAATAAAGTGATGAAATCTCGGGCTGTTCTGCTCCGTCTCGTGTGGGACGTGAATCATCTTTTTGTCCAGCATCTTTATGCTGTATGCGCTACCTGTCACGTAGTAGATTTCTTCGTTATGAGACTTAGTCATGGTATCACAGTGCTTGAGTCCAAGTAACTTTTTTTTTTTTTTTTTTTTTTTGAGATGGAATTTCACTCTTGTTTCCCAGGCTGGAGTGCAATGGTGTGATGTTGGCTCACTGCAACCTCTGCCTCCCAGATTCAAGCAATTCTCCTGCCTCAGGCTCTAGAGTAACTGGGATTACAGGCTCCTGCCACCACGCCCAGCTGATTTTTGTATTTTTAGTAGAGATGGGGTTTCACCACGTTGGCCAGGCTGGTCTTGAACTCCTCACCTCAGGTTATCCACCTGCCTTGGTCTTGCAAAGTGCTGGGATTACAGGCATGAGCCACCGTGCCCAGCCAAGTAACATTTTTATACTTAATAATGGTCCCAAAGCACGAGGGTAGCGATGCTGGCATATTGTTATAATTGTTCTATATTATTATGTTATTGTTGTTAACCTCTTACTGTGCCTGATTTATAAGTTAAATTCTATCACAGGCATGCATGTATAGAAAAAAACAATACACATATAGGGTTTGGTATTATATGAGGTTTCAGGCATCCACTGGGGTCTTGAAACACATATCCTGAGGATAAGGGTAGACTACTATATAAATAGCTTTAGCTTTATTTCTGTGTTAATGGAAAACAAGTGAGGATATGGCATAGGGAAGTTAAATGGCCAGATGTTGACACTCTTACTTTATTGACATTTAATTATTGATTTTTATCAATAATATAAATAACTACAAAAATAATAACCAGTTTGATAGATTGCAAAAATGGCCACAAATTCTCTCCGTCCCTGTACATTTGATCCTTTGCAAAGTGCCTCTTAAGCTTCTCCCATCCAAGGTGTAATGAGTTTTTCTGTTCATATAGTCTGCTTTGTGATATCCTTTGTCAATGGGAAAATAGCAAACATGCTATCAAAGATTTGATGTCTTTCATAAAGAGGCTTGCACTCACTTGCTGTTCTTGAAAACCTCAAACTGTGTATAAAGCAGTCTGGGCCAGCCTCCTGAATGATGGCAGACATATTTCCCAGTCATCTTGTGGCTCTGCCTAGCTGCCTGGTAATAGGCTGACATGTGAGTGAGGCCATCCTAGATCACCTAGCCACCACCCCAGCCATGATGTGACCTGACAGCTGATTATAGAAATATCGGAGAGAGACCAGGAAAGATCAACTCAGCTATCTCAGACCAGAAAAACTATCCAATCAACACAAATAATTGTAAGTTAAATAAATGGTTGTTTTAATCCACTGAGCTTTAGGATAGCTTAAAAAAAATTGACACAACAAATAGCACTATTAAATACTGATAGAATTACAGTGACAATTTGAAAACTTTTATGTGCATTACCTCATGGAATTTCATATAAAACCTTATGAGTTGTGATTTATATCCTGGTTTTATGGGTAAGGGAAACTGATCTGTAGCCATTATTTTTGAATACTGAGTAAAATGAGCTACAGAGAAAGTCAAAGAAGAAATCCAAACTCAACTAAACTAACAAACCGAAGACTGGAAAGAGAGTAATTCCATGATTGGTGATGGTGATGTGCGATCCTACAGAAAATCCATTTGCCTCCAGAGATTTTTTACAAAACTATCTTGGCAGCCTCTGTGAGACATATCAACTTTAAAAATTATTGTGTACCTGGCTTGTAAACTTAATTTCTGACTAGGTTCAGTCAGGAATACAAATGAATGGAACAGAAGCATGTTGGATATAAGAAAATGGGGTACAGCACAATGCTCCTTTTAAAGTAGAAAAACTGCCTGAGTGCGGTGGCTCACACCTGTAATCCCAGCACTTTGGGAGGCCAAGGTGGGCGGATCACCTGAGGTCAGGAGTTCGAGACCAGCCTGACCAACATGGAGAAACCCTGTCTCTACTAAAAATATAAAATTAGCCGGGGGTGCTGGTGCATGCCTGTAATCCCAGCTACTCAGGAGGCTGAGGCAGGAGAATCACTTGAACCTGGGAGGCAGAGGTTGCGGTGAGCCGAGATCATGCCACTGCACTCCAGCCTGGGCAGCAAGAGTGAAACTCCATCTCAAAATAAATAAAAAACATAAAAAAATAAAGTAGGCAACTTACATCTAATTGTTGTCATGCAAAATGTGGGTCCAATATTTTCATAACTTCTAAGTCTTTAGAAAAGCAGGAAATCTGGGCTTCATGTGAAATATTCTAGCACAGTTGACCCTTGAACAACATGGGTTTGAACTGGGTGGGTCCAGGTTCACTTACAAGCAGACTTTCTGCATCTCAACCATCCCTGAGACTGCAAGACCAACCCCTCCTCTTCCTCCTCCTCCTCAGCCTTCTCCACGTGAAGATGATGACAATGAATAATTTTATGATGATTCACTTCCACTTAATGAATAGTAAGCATCTTTTGTTTTTCTTATAATTTTCTTAATAACATGTTCTTTTATCTAGCTTACTTCATTGCAAGAATATATTATATTATACATATAATAAAAAAATGTGTAAATCAGGTATGCTATTGGTAAAGCTTCCGGTCAATAGTAGGCTATTAGTAGTTAAGTTGTGGGGGAGTCAAACTTATATACAGATTTTTGACTGCATGGGATGTTGGCACCCCTAACCACCATGTTGTTCACAGGTCAACTGGTTTTAAATAATTGTAACAAATTCATAGCAACGTAAAAGCCAGGTGTGATAAACTGAATGTTTGCATTTCCCCAAAATTCATATGTTGAAGCCCCGAGCCCGAATGTGATGATAGGACGCAACTGGACCTTTGGGAGGAAATTAGGTTGAGATGACGTTATGAGGGTGAAGTCCTCATGGTGGGATTAGTGTCTTTATAAAAAGAGGAAGAGACACCAAAGCTTTCTCTCTCCCCCAGGTGAGGACACAGCAAGAAAGCAGCCTCTGCAAGCCAGGAAGAGGGTCATCACCAGAACCGTACTGTGCTGGCACCCTGCTCTCAGATACCCCGACCTCCAGAACTGAGAGAAGTAAGCATTTGTTGTATAAGACCTGTCGATAGCATTATGTTCCTGTAGCATAAGCTGACTAAAACAGAAGGTGCATCACACACGAAACATCTTTGCTAGCATGTGGCTGGTGGGCGTCCAGTTTGCGATCTTGAATCAATAGCTTTGAAGAAGGTAGTGAGGATAGGTTGGCCTGTTGATTTTGTAGCTACTGAAGTCGCCAGCCTCCTTCTAAGTTCAGTGTAGGACTGCTGGTTCCACAGGGACAGTTTACCTGGAGGACCCGAGTCCATTGATCCAGATTTTTACTTAAGAAAAAAAACCACCATTTGGGAACCATCTTGGCACTAGAAATGGTGAAAACCTAGCACCTCTGGCTACTAAGTTGTACCTTCAAAGACTTAGCATTGTAAACCTTTCCTAGCTACGAGCCAGGAAACATTTGGGAATCCTGATCCCTCAAAAGTTCTGCCTTATAGCAACTAGTTTCCTCCCACTGCCTAACATGCTAGAACTTCTTGGCAGCTTCATCATCTCCCTCATTTACTGTGAAAGCATGTTCAGTTACTCTTGGTTGTCGTTCATTTGGTTCTATCCACACTTTCCAAAAAAACTGCCTTGTTATTTTCTTGGAGCTCTGCCTGTCTCCCTCTAGATGGTTCCTGATGCTCTGATTTGTTTGCATCAGTGAGAAAGCCACGGAGCTTCACTCCTCATTCCCTATCCCTGCAGGGTGCAGAAGGACAGAGGCTTGTAAATTAAGCCTACATTTAGTGAGATCTCCTGCAGGTCACATTATGGCCAGCAGAGGGCAGCATTGAGAAAGGCCAAACTGCCACAGCTGGGACCACTCAACTCCAATGAAGACCCCTGACTTTATAAATTTTATTGTACCTTTTACCAACAAATCTTACTTTCTCTTTGATACCAGCCTGCCTGCCCTATGCAGGTGACAGTGGCAAATGGGCCAGAATTTCAATGTCTTCTTTGTATTGATTTCCATTTATTTTGATCTTTACAGTCTTTTCTCTTTGCCAGAGAAAGTTTTTGACCAAGGGAAATGCGATTTAAACTCAGCTTCTAAGTTGTAGCACTTTAAAACACACAAGTAAGTAATAAGACAAGTGACAGATAAGGGTCAAAGAGGACTGATCAAGGGTAAGTTGTAGGAAACCACATCAAGGCAGAATTTGGGAGAAAAGGAAGCCCTCGTGTGCAGGTCCGTTTTTCCTCTCTGTCTCAGGCTCTGAGAATAATTGTACCTTTGGACAAGAGAATCTGGCTTTGCATAATTTCAGCTAAGGAGCTCAAAAACTACAAGATTAAGCCAGGTTACATTTTTGAATTCACTCTGATCTGTGCAACAGGACTAGAAACATAAATTGTGCTTATAACACCTGTTCCAACACCTGCACCTTGCTTCAGTCACTGCCAATAGTTCAGCTCCTTTAGACATAAGGTCATGCCTTTCTTATTCCAGCTTTTGCCACTGTACAAAGATGTTTGAAATCAAACCGATTTTTTTGAATCTAGTATCTGTTGTGAATTTTTCCTAACGTTGTTTTCCTGCTTAATTCTTTACATATATTATTTTCTAAAATTTCTCATTCCTGTGTCTAGCTTTTTTCCTATTTTACCACTCTGCCAGTTGACTTTTTATGGCCTATCAGGGAGTTGGCTGTTCACCTACTTATCACCTGGATGTGCCCCACCTTAGACCCCAAGGCCTTTTTCCATCTCTTTCCAGGTTTAGTATTCTTGCTCTGCTGCCATTTTAACGTGATATAAGTGTGGATTTTTTTCAGTTATTCTTTCGGGGTAGAATGCAGTAGATCACATCAAGTCAACAAAGTTTGTTTGCAACCGCTAATAAAAATAGATGACTTATATATACCCTATTTTAAAAGACATGAGAGAGCTGCAAAATTAATGAGGACCAAATGAATTAAAATTCAGGGAGGAGTTAACTTGGATTTTTGATGTGTTGAAATTCACAGGAGATTTTTCTCCCTTGAAGGTATTTTTCCATTCTGGATGAGGGCCAATAATCAGACTTGGCAAAAGCTGAGGGTGTCTACTAAAGGAAAGAGAAAATAGTGTTTTTGTTTTCTTTTTTTTTTAATAGACAGGTTGATAAAACAGATTAGAATATAGTAGAGCCCCCAAACACACAGTTGGTTCCTCCCCCGGGCATTTGCTGAATTTGTGGTGGCATGGGAGTATGGGTATCTAGATCAAAAGCTGCTAAAAACAGCAAGAAATCTCTTATGGTCTCCCAGTGTTTTAAAAACAAAATCCAACCAGAAGGAGTCAACCTATGACTAGTCTCTCCTGAAGAATTTGAGTAGGAAACTAAAGAACTAAAACTAAAACTCTAGAGGGTAGTAGTGAACCTCTCTGTTTTCCAGAGCTAGGTCAAAAGCCCAAGGATGCCATATTCTACAAACAGATATAACTCAAAGGTGAACAGAGCCTTACGGAGACCACATCTCAAAAGAGAACATGCAAACCCTTGGTTGTAGTGATCAGTTGCTCATTATCTGCCGACAGATTAAACATTCCCTGGGAGAATATATCATCATTTACACTTTCTGTGGTTCTTTTTACCTTAAAAAATCACAAACATGAACATGTTTAAGAGGCAGGACAATGTATCTGAAAATCAAGAGAAAAGGTGCAATGGAAACAGACTTGCAGATAATCTAAATAGTGGTTTCAGGTGACAAAGACTTTTAACTGCCTATTTTAAACACATGAATCTTCTTAGGGTTTATTGAGCTGCTTTGGTATCTGTCAATATTTCTGGAATTGTTTTCAACTGTTGTCATTTCAAATGCTACCTTTTGCCCATTGTTGGCTCTAGAACTCTGTTTAGATATATGGCAGTCTACCCTCTTTATGTTGAAGTCTTGAAGTCCAGTCTTATCGCCCAGGAATAATGCACCTCTCAGAAGAAATACTCTAGATTGTTTTGATGAACTGCATAATGACCACCTAGCACACACCCACATAGCTGTGAAAACATGTGAGTAA